>NW_016107306.1:0-178197 GCF_000001405.40 Homo sapiens
GAATTCCCCATGAGTCCTGTGACCTCAGCCCACACGGGGACCTACAGGTGCTACGGCTCACTCAGCTCCGACCCCTACCTGCTGTCTCACCCCAGTGGCCCCGTGGAGCTCGTGGTCTCAGGTGAGGGCGCTGACCCTGTCCTCTCTGAGCTCAAAGGCTCAGCTCAGGCCCTGCCCCCAGCAGAGCTCTGGACACTAAGGAAAGAGGGGAGTGAAGGGAGAGGGTCCGCAGGGGAGGGTCCAGCCCATGGGAAGATGGAAATAGACAGGGACCTCCCACCCCTGGCTCCCACCCCTGAAGTCTCAGTAGAGTAAAGTGCAGGGAGGGCTGGGAGGAGACGGGGGGTGAACCTCAAAGGAGTTGAGATTAGACTGAGGGTGGAAGACGGAGGCCCCACCTGCTCCCATCCTGGTGTCTCCACCTCAGAATCAGAGCCTCTGTGTCCCAGTCCCCAACAGACGCCCTCCTGGAGAGAGAAGCATCCAGGCTGCCGGTGCCACCTGCATCCACCCCCGACCCCCCCCCACCCCGCCCCACTTCCTGCTTTCCCCTGCAGCCTCCCCAGCACTCAGCGCACACCTGAGCCTCACAGGGACTTGCACGTGCTCCCGCAGCAGCTCAGGGAATGTGCACCGCTCCTCTTCTGCGCCGTTGACATTTTTTATTTGGGTTTTTAAAATCTCATATTGGCCTTTTTGTCCAAGCTGGTGAAAGTAGATTTGCAGCATCACCTATTTTTATTCTCACCCGGTTTCGTAATAGCCCTGATCTCACGTGCTCCCTGAGGTTTTGTAAACTTCAGGTAGAAATGTGGACTTCCTTCGTTCTGGACATTTGCTATGGAGGGGGTAGGGCTTATCTTTTCAGAAAAAGTCAAATGACTGGTACCACTCCTTGAAACCCTACAGCACTTTCCAGACCTCAGAGGGAGGGAGAGAGAGGCAGAGACAGAGACAGAGAGACAGAGAGAGAGATATTGGGGCCGCTCTTTCCTGGCCGGTTCATCCTGGCCTATTCTCAATCCACCAAGGCCCCGAAGCTCATCTCCCCTCCTCCTCTGCCTCCTCCTCCACCCTGTAGACAAGCGGCCATTCCTTTCTGAAGAACAGGCTGAGACCTTTCTGGGACCTGCTCTTTCTGGAGCCTCTGTTGCTCCCTGTCTGGGTCTCCACACGCCTCCTTCCTGGCCCTTTTTCCTATTGAGGAATCAGCTTCAATGTCACCTCCAAGTGTGACCTTCACTGACGACACAGCTCAGCCCAGTCCTGCCTGCTTCTCATTTATGTCAAGTAATTAACCAACCTACACCATGCGGCTGAATTCCTTCTCTCTCTCTTCCACTCTCTGCATATACGTGTGTGTGTGTGTGTGCGCGTGTGTGGTCACACCAACATCTTACGTGACATTGAAACCTAGTTATCCGTATATCTATACAAATAATATATATTCACACATAAATATAGGTCTCTACCAATATATCTAAAACCATTGCTACGACTAGTAAATTTCCACTGCTGTGTTTCTATATGTTTGCTGTTTGTCTCCAGGTGAACCCACACTTCAAGAAGGCAGAGATAGTTTTTAAGGCCCACTATATATATAAAACAGATATATATTTGTGTTTGTGTTTTTCTGTGTGTGTATCACATTCTACCTGTTGCTGCCTATACGAATAATTAGCTACCTAGAGATTAAATGGACAATGAAACTCCAGGTGAAGTGGCTGAGGGCATGAAGGGGAGGCAGCCCCAGAATTTCACCCCTTTGTGCTTCTGACATTGAGGCTCCCCTGATGACTAACCCTCATCCACGGAGCCTGGGTCCTCAGCTGGTGGATCCGTGAAACTCTCATCTCCGGGGGAGTTGGCTCATGTTCTCCTGTGTCCCAGGCTGCACAGAGAGCACACAGGCCTTAGTGACCTCTGTACTGGGGACCACTTTCCTTGCAGATCCTGAGCTCTCAGGATGCAGGAAAACTCTCTCCCAGATGACTCAGGAGCAATGTTTAAATCCATAGAACACAGGAAAACTGAAATCGTTCAATGAGGAGACTAGAGGGAATCCTGCTAGCGGAGGAAGAGGTTTTTTTTTTTTTTTTTTAGAAATTCTGTAAAAGTCACATCATGAGACATTAAGTAATAAAAAAAAAATTGCAGAGCCCAGGTGAGAGGCTGGGCTCAGGTCTCTTTTTCTCTGTTTTGATTCTCTGGAGCAGCTGATACCCTCAGCCCATCACAAAACAAGTCTGACTCTGAGACTGGTATGTGAGGAGATACTCTCAGTGATGGGGCTGGCACTGAGGGTTGGGTCCTGTGAAGGGGAGGTGGGTGCCCTGGGTGGACAATCTGATCCACCCTGACCTCTGTGACCTCTTTGTCCACCATCCCCAGCCTCACACCTTCAGGATTACGCAGTGGAGAATCTCATCCACATGGGCGTGGCTGGCTTGATCCTGGTGGTCCTCGGGATTCTGTCATTTGAGGCTTGGCACAGCCAGAGAAGCTTCCCAAGATGCAGCCGGGAGGTGAACAGCAGAGAGGATAATGTACTTTATAGAGTCGTGAAGCCTCAGGAACAGATCTGATGATCCCAGGAGGTTCTGGAAGAAAATCTAGGGCCGATGCTATCTGGACTGTCTGCTGGTCATTTCCAGAGGAAGGAATCAATGTCCGAGTGCAGGGACATTTTCTGGGGTGATCCATGGAGAACCATTAAAATGTGATACCTTTCCTCTCCATTAATGTTGACTTTCCTTGGTTGGATCTGCCTCTTTTCCCACACTTAGACATGAGGCTCCATCCCACATGGCAGCGTTGGGTCCACACCTCTGCACACCTGCATGCTCTGGTCCATGGCGTGTCACACAGTCCTCTTCATTTCTCATTGCCACACTTCCTGGTGTACTTTACTGGGTCTTCATGTCTTCAGTTCAGAGTTCCGCACCTGGTTTAGGAACTAATTCAACGGGAGAAGATCAGAGTCCGACCAGGAAAAGATAAATGCACCGTGATGCCCTCACCTCCTGTGTGGACCCTATGAGCTCTTCCCTCCTTATCAGATGCTATCTGTGTAGTTTCTCCTGAAATATCACCACCTGGAATCAACACACTGGCATTTGAAGTCACGACCCAATGGTATGCTAATTCTGAAAAAGACATTTTTTGAAATGCTATGATTAGTGGCATTTACCAATTTCCTTGACGTAAATTCTTTTTTCATGGCCATAATCAAGATGCCAACGAGACATCCCTGAATGCAGGGTTGGGAAGCGTTGGACAGACTTGTCTTCACTCATAAGCACCAGGCATCTGATAGCTCACGTATACATCTTATTACCTTCCATTTTAGAGTGAATAATCATTTCTACTTCAGTATTTTGGCACAGGTAAAAGCAGTCCCATTACTGCGCGTATACCCAAAGGAATATAAATCATTCTATTGCAAAGATACATGCACACATGTGTTCATCGCAGCACTATTCACAATAGCAAAGACATAGAATCAACCCAAATGCCCATCAATGATAGACTGGATAAAGAAAATGTGAGACATATACACCACGGAATACTATGAAGCCATAAAAAGAAACAAGATCATGTCCTTTGCAGGGACATGGATGGAGCTGGAAACCATTATCCTCAGGAAACTAACACAGGAACAGGAAATCAAACGCTGCATGTTCTCACTTACAAGTGGGTGCTGAACAATGAGAATGCGTGAACACAGGGAGGGGAACAACACACACTGGGGCCTGTCGGGGGGGGGGTGGGGTAGGGGTAGGGAGAGCATTAGGAAAAATAGCTAATGTATGCTGGGCTTAATACCTAGGTGATGGGTTGACAGGTGCAGGAAACCACCATGGCGCACATTGACCTATGCAATAAGCCCACACATTCTGCACATGTACCCCGGAACTTAAAATAAAAATAAAAATTAAAATTAAATTATGACACCATGATCCTAGCATATCCAAAAAAGACAAAAATGCCAATATCAAATGTCGGAGAAAATAGGGCTGAATTAAAAATCCAATACAACGCCGGGCGCAGTGGCTCACGCCTGTAATCCCAGCACTTTGGGAGGCCAAGGTGGGTGGATCACTTGAAGTCAGGAGTTTGAGACCAGCCTGGCCAAACGTGGTGAAACCCTGCCTCTACTAAAAATACAAAAATTAGCCGGGTGTGGTGGCACTCGCCTGTAGTCCTAGCTACTAGGGAGGCTGAGGCAGGAGAATCACTTGAACCCGGGAGGCGGAGGTTGCAATGAGCTGAGATCATGCCACTGAACTCCAGCCTGGGTGACAGAGCGAGACTCCGTCTCAAAAAAAAAAACAAAAAAAAAAAACCCTCAAAAGCTCAGGCAGCAAAAGCAAAAATAGGCAAATGAGATCATAGCAAACTGCAAACCTTCTGCACAATCAAGGAAACAAACAGCAGAGTGAAGAGACCACCTACAGAATGGGAAAGAATATTTGCAAGCAAGAGATTAATCTCCAGAAAATACAAGGAGCTCAAACAATGCAGAGGTTTTGAAGGATGGTGATGAGAAGGTTCTGCTACTTACAGAAAGGAAGTTTAGGAGAAACAAAACCACAAACCTAGGTGGTGGGATGGCTTGATCTGCTTCTGTCTGTGACTCACTTAACAGTCTTAAACACATCTCCCTAAGCCTCCTTCCCCCGGTGGGATTCCTGGGTCTTGTGAGGACCTCATCGGTCCCTCTGGTAAACCCAGGCACAGAGTGGAGCAGCTCTTGTTTTCTCAGGATCTTCCCCTTCACATACAATTAACGCACCCACACGATGCTACTCTTAGAACCCTTCAAATAAATGTTTCCCGGTTCATTCACTACCAGAATCCAAGCTCAGCTTGTTCCCCAGCTTAGGACTGAGTGGTATCTTGGAGGTAGTTTCCACCATAGCCCCCTTCCTCTGCTATAAGGCTCAGTGACACACCAGAGACACCCCCTCCAGCCAGGCTCCTGGAAGGTCTGGATGAAGACTGGGATGCTGAGGCATTGCTCAGCAATGTGGCTTAACTCAAACTTCTATGTGAAACTTCCAACCACTTTCAGCAAGGGGTCACTTCCAGCGTCTTGGGGTGTGAGGGCACTTTGGTTGGTCCCTGCAATATCAGACCCTATAAAGATCCTACAAACATGTTGCAGACTCTTTGAAGATTCTGGCACTTTCAGACATGCTGTTGGGAAATGGTGACACCCATAACCTTCTAGTTCCAGGACAGGGAGCCTTAGCCCAGGGCTATGTTTTCTGAGGGTCCTCAAAGTAAACAGTTCTATGTGCCAGGAGAACCCTAAATCTCATATGGTTCTAAGGGCAGAAAGCCACACACGCACCGGCAAAAAGCAAGAGATTCAAGGAAAAGCTGAGCAAAGACAGACAGGAAAACACACACATGATGAGCCAGCTTGTAGAGCTAGAACTGAGATGGAGAGAGGCACGAGTGGGTAACAGAGTGTGCTCCCCAGAACAGGTGGAGAGAATGCCTTTTTCATGCCCTGAGGATAGGCTGGGTAAGGCTTGTGCTCGACAGTCAAGGACTATTTTTTTCCCCAGGCGTCTACAAGAGACCTTCCTTCTCAGCTCAACTGTGCCCTGCAGTAAGTAATGATGGAGAGAATGTGACTTTGCTCTGCAGCTCTGGAAGCTCATTTGACCTGTGCCTTCTAACGAGGAAGGTAAGGCCCCTGGACACTGGCTCACTGGGGTGCAGAGACAGAGTGGGGCATTCAGGCCAACTTCTCTCTGGGTCTTGGGGCTGGTGATGGGACCTCTAGATGCTGCAGCTCTCTGTCGATGGCTCTGCCTGTGAGTGATCAGCCCTAGATGACCACTGTTACTGGGGGTAGCCCATGCCTGCTGCATGCCCTGTGAAACACTAAATCATATAGCCACGTCTGAGGGACAGCCTGCTGGAGACATGGGAATCTTAGGGATTCCAGACAAAATGAAGCAATGAGAAACACAAAGAGGAAAAGAGAGGTTGAGTATGACAGTGGTGTCAGGGTGTAGGGTGGTAGACAGGGCAGCTCCACACTCTCCACTGCTTCCTGTCTGGAGGCCCACTTTGGGGTCCTACTTATCCAGGTGAGTGAAGGAAGAGGTCAGGACAAACACAGGAGGTGAAGCCAGATACAGTGTGGGGAGATAAGCAGTGGCCTCAGCCTCTAGCCCTTTTCCATCTTCCAGAAGCCCCTCCTGAGCTCTCATCACAGACAGATTTCCCATTTGGAAACCCAGATATTTATCATGCCGGGGGGGGGAGGCAATGTCTCTTGATTATGGGGACTTTCCATCACCAGGCACCTGCTAGTCCTCTCTATACCTTCCCTTCAGGAAAGGAATTGTCCCTCATGGGATTCCAGGGAAGAGACCCCAGGACCCCTATCAGTCACTAGGGAGATGACAGAGTAGAGGAAGTCAGGGGACCAACCCTCCACAGAGAATGGTCCTACTTCAGTGGGGTGAGGGAAACTCTCACTCATCCATTTGCTGTCCTGTTACCTCGGAACCCTAAGAGAACTTGTTAGTCACACACAGAATCTACCCCTGAATGTGGTGTGCAAAGTGGGGCTCTTAGCCTCCAGTGTGAAGTCCCTGGGAAGATGGAATGTCCCTGTGTGAGTGAAGGCTGTGCCACCGCCCAGCTATGTGGCCTTGGGCTAGGCAACCCCTCCCAGGTCCCCAGTTCCCCATCTGCATCGGAGACTGTGGCCAGTGCGGGAATCCACAAGGCCCTTCAGCCTCCAAAGCTCTGGGACAGAGGCCTCGTCCACAGGGAGGAAGGGGTCAGAGTGACCTGAGTCCCTACTCAGGAGCGAGTCTAATCCACTCTCCATCGGGGCCTGTGGGGAAGGGAAGATGAAGAAACGGAGCCTGCACCTGGCTATGTGGGCGCAGTAGATTAAGGGGAGGATGAGGGTTCCTGAGAGTGTGTCATGTGGCAGAGACCCTGCAGCACACTCAGGAAGGGCTCTGGAAGGATCCAAGGAAATTTTCCAAGAAGAGGGCAGAGTAAGTGACAGAGACCCTCAACCATGGATTTCACTGAGGTGCCCATGATGACATAGGGAGAACGGGGGTGTCTGGGCAGGAAGAATATCGTCAGGGTGAAATGAATGGTGATGAGCTTCGTGTCAGAGCTCCTGTGGAGGGAGGGGCCTGGCCCACATGAAAAGGTCTCTGATCCTACCCCAGCCCCCAGCCCCTGTTCTCCAGGATGACACTGTGGGAATTCCATCAGGAGGGGTGTGATAGGGCTGGTCTTCCTGGCTCGATTCACAACACTGGCTGGGGACTGGGAACCCATGGGGAGCCACAGGTGGAAAGGGAGGAGCCTCAGTGAACCCAGCAGGAACAAACATAGGGTCTGACATGATGGAACTCACTTCCTGGAGGCCAAGAAAGACACTTGCGGGACAAAAGGGAAAGAGCGGTGGCTTGCTTAGTTCCATTCACTGACAACCCACAGGAGATGTCCAGTCCTTTTTTGATTTATTATTTTATTTTATTATATTTTATTTTATTTTATTTTATTTTCACATGGAGTTTTGCTCCTATTGGCCAGGCTGGAGTGCAATGGCACGATCTTGACTCACTGCAACCTCCACCTCTCAGGTTCAAGCGATTCTCCTGCCTCAGCCTCCTGCATAGCTGGGATTACAGGCGACTGCCACCACAGCCAGGTAATGTTTGTATTTTTAGTAGAGATGAGGTTTTGCCATCTTGGCCAGGCTGGTCTCAAACTCCTGATCTCATGTGATCCGCCTGTATCAGACTGCCAAAGTGTTGGGATTACAGGCGTGAGCCACCACACCCAGCCTTTTGTATTTTTAGTAGAGATGGGGTTTCACCATGTTGGTCAGGCTGGTCTTAAACTCCTGACCTCAGGTGATCCATCCACCTCGGCCACCCAAAGTGCTGGGAGTACAGATGTTAGCCACCGTACCCAGCGAGAGTTTCAGTGCTCTATCGGATTCCCTGCCTACTCCATGTTGCATGTAATGTTCCACCTCAGGGATGTTTCTCTCCTTTCTGTCTCCTTCCTCTTCTCCTTCTCCTTTTTTCTTTCTAATTTTTATTTTTTTGAGACAGAGCCTTGCTCTGTTACCCAGGCTAGAGTACAGTGGCACGATCCCAGCTCACTGCAACCTCTGCCTCCTGGGTTCAAGAGATTCTCCTGACTCAGCCTCTCAAGTAGCTGGGATTACAGGCACCCGCCATCACACCCAGCTAGTTTTTGTATTTTTAGTAGAGACGAGGTTTCACCATGTTGGCCAGACTGGTCTTGAACTCCTGCCCTCAGGTAATCCACCCGCCTGTGGCCCCCCAAAGTGCTGGGATTACAGGCGTGAGTCACCACTCCCAGCCCTGAATGATCTTTCCTCTTTAGTGTGTTCTCACAACCACCTCTCACTGAGCTTTCTTGTTTTTTGTTTTTGTTTTTGTTTTTGTTTTTGTTTTTGGCAGAGTCTGGCTTTGTTGCCTATGCTGGAGTGCAGTGGTGCAATCTCAGCTCACTGCAACCTCCGTCTCCTGGGTTCAAGCGATTCTCCCACCTCAGCCTCCTGAGTAGCTGGGATTACAGGCACCCACCACCACACCCAGCTAATTTTTGCATTTTTAGTAGACACAGGGTTTCACCATGTTGGTCAGGCTGGTCTCGAACTCCTGACCTTGTGATCTGCCAGCCTCAGCCTCCCAAAGTGCTGGAATTACAGGCATGAGCCACCACTCCCAGCCCTGGATTATCTTTCCTCTTTAGTGTGTTCTCACAACTACCTCTCACTGCTGGGTTTTCTCTCTTTCTTTTTTTTTTTTTTTTTTTTTTTTTTTGAGACAGTCCGGCTTTGTTGCCCAGGCTGGAGTGCAGTGGCGCGATCTCGGCTCACTGCAAGCTCCACCTCCCAGGTTCAAGCGATTCTCCCACCTCAGCCTCCCTAGTAGCTGGGATTACAGGCGCATGCCAGCACACCCAGCTAGTTTTTGTATTTTTAGTAGAGACAGGGGTTTCACCATGTTGGTCAGGCTGGTCTTGAACTCCTGACCTTGTGATCTTCCTGCCTCGGCCTCCCAAAGTGCTGGGATTACAGGTGTAAGCCACTGCACCCAGCCAGCTTTCTCATTCTTATCCCTTAGTTCTCTGCCAGGGAATAAGATAGAAACCATTCCCTCAACCACATTCTAGTCATGGTCCCTATTCTCATGTTTCCACTTCTCTCTCTTTGGTAATAAATCAATTAATTGAGAAACAAGTAGCTAAATGTTCATCTTCTGCTAGTCTGCATCCCCTTATTTTCCCAGAGCCTCCCCTAATGAAACTGACTTTATTTACTGAACGCAGGAAATGGGTCTCTCCAGATCAGGATGACTTTCTGCTGGGAAATATTTGTCTTTGCATCAGTGGGGAAAAAGAAAGCCGATGTCATGAGTGGAGGCTCTGAGAAAATAAGGGCTGTGTTTTCAGTTTAGACCCAGCTAAGTTGGGAGCTGACATAGATATGATGTTGGGTCCACCCTCCACGGGCAGGTTTTCAGACAAAGGATCCCTGGCAATCAGGGGACACCTCAGGTCTGGGCTGAGATGTGTGCAGAGGGCCTGGGTCCTCCTGAGCCCCTGCACTGGGGGGGGAATAAGAGACAGGCCCAGCAAGGGGCTGTCCACTTCCTGTGGGTTCACAGCTGTGGGGACCCAGGCAGGCGGCAGCAGGCTCTGACTTAACCACATCCGTGCATCTGTCTGTCATGGAGGGCCATGTGGTCACCTGTCCCACAGCTGGAGCACGCAGAGCAGGCATCATGGTGTCCATCCTCACTGTTCTTCTGTGCCTCAGTCAGTGGTGGAGAGACGAGGGACAGGAGGGGCACTGGGCTGAGGTGGGGAGGGTCCCACAGCAGCCTTGTTCACCAGAGAGCCTCAGGGCTCCAGTGGCTACTGGTGCTCCAACAGGAAGGGAAGCAGCCACACCTCTGTGTTCCAAATCCCCCACAGGAAACTCTTCTCCATGGCTGAGTCTGGGCCAGAAAGCCCAAGCACTTGCAGGTGAGTCTCTGCTAACCTCCCATGCCTGACCTCACACTCAGCACCTGGACTCTCATCTCAGGGGCTTCTGAACTGAGGGTGAGAAAATCAAGAGGGTCTGTGACCTGAGCTGGGAATGAGGAGCGGGGGAGGTCTGTGGACCCCAGCCTGTGGTTTCTTCCAGGGACCCTCCCCAAACCCAGCCTCTGGGCTGAGCCAGGCTCTGTGATTACCTGGGAGAGCCCCATGACCCTCTGGTGCCAGGGGACCCTGGATACCCAGGGTTACTATCTCACCAAGGAAGGAAACCCCATGACCTGGTACCAACAGAGCCCACCAGAGCCCAGGAACAAGACCAACTTCTTCATCCCATCCATGAGAGAGCACCATGCAGGGAGATACCACTGTCACTATCTCAGCCCTGCAGGCTGGTCAGAGCGCAGCGAGCCCCTGGAGCTGGTGGTGACAGGTAAGAGGACACTCAGGGGTCCCAGCCCCAGGCTCTGCCTGCAGGAAGGGGGTCAGCTCTCAAGGGCATCTCCGTTCTAATAACTCAGCCCTGGGGGATGATGTGGGACGCGTGAGCCCCATTTAAGACAGTGTCTCCTTCTCTCCTAGGAGCCCACAGAAAACCCACTCTCTCAGCCCTGCCGAGCCCTGTGGTGACCTCAGGAGAGAACGTGACCATCCAGTGTAGCTCAAGGGTGGGATTTCACAGGTTCATTTTGATTGAGGAAGGAGAAAACAAGCTCTCCTGGATGCTGGACTCACAGGAACTCTCCAAGGGGCTGTCCCTTGTCCCTGGCCCTGTTCCCTGTGGGCCGTGTGGCTGCCAGTCACCGGTGGATGTTCAGATGCTATGGGCATTACACGAACTTCCCCTGGGTGTGGTCGGAACCCAGTGATACCATGGAGATCCTGGTCTTAGGTATGGATGTCTTCCTCCTTGCCCTATTTATTTTTGAGAACTTACTCTCACGGAGCCCCATGTAGGAGGGTGGAACAAGGGAAGTTTGGGACTCCTGAGCCCAGAGACACTGAGTGTGAGAGACAGTGAGACCTGCAGGGCCAGGAGGGGAGAAGGAAGGGGTGTGGGAGGAACCAGCCCTCCTAGTCCCGACTCTTCTTTCCCTCCAGGCGTGTCTAGGAAGCCCTCCCTCCTGACCCTGCAGGGCCCTGTCGTGGCCCCTGGGGAGAATCTGACCCTCCAGTGTGGCTCTGATGTCGGCTATGACAAATTCACTCTGTACAAGGAGGGGGGACATGACCTCGTCCAGGGCTCTGGCCGGCAGCCCCAGGCTGGGCTCTCCCAGGCCAACTTCACCCTGGGCCCTGTGAGGGTCTCCCACGGGGGCCAGTACAGATGCTACGGTGCACACAACCTCTCCTCCGAGTGGTCGGCCCCCAGTGACCCCCTGAGCATCCTGATCGCAGGTGAGGAGCCCAGCAGGTTCAGTCAGGGACCCAGGCTCCGCACAGGCCCTGCTGGGGGAGCCCAGGTGGTGATGGCCGGGATGAGGGGTGGGGGTCCTAAGGGACGGAGAGACAGACAGAGACAGGGGATGGGCGGGGAGGGGGAGACTCAGAGAAAACAGAGACAGAGACACTGAGGGTCCCAGGGAGAGGCCTGGGGAGGTGTCAGCTCAGAACGAGGTGGGGCAGCCCCTCACCCATCCTTCTTCTCTCCAGGACAGATCCGTGGCAGACCCTCCCTCTCGGTGCAGCCGGGCCCCACGGTGGCCTCAGGAGAGAACGTGACCCTGCTGTGTCAGTCACGGGAGCAGTTGGACACTTTCCTTCTGACCAAGGAGGGGGCAGCCCATCACCCACTGCGTCTGAGATCAGAGCACCAAGCTCAGCAGCACCAGGCTGAATTCCCCATGAGTCCTGTGACCTCAGCCCACGCGGGGACCTACAGGTGCTACAGCTCACGCAGATTCTTCCCCTACCTGCTGTCTCACCCCAGTGACCCCCTGGAGCTCGTGGTCTCAGGTGAGGCCGCTGACCCTGTCCTCTCTGAGCTCAAACCTCAGCTCAGGCCCTGCCCCCAGGAGAGCTCAGGACGCTAAGGAAAGAGGGGAGTAAAGGGGGAGGGTCGGCAGGGGAGGGCCCAGCCCATGAGAGGGTGGAAATAGTCAGGGACCTCCTAATCCTGGGCTCCCACCCCAGAGACCTCAGATGGGGCTAAAGGCCAGGGAGGGCTGAAATGAGATATGGAGAAACCTTGGAGGAATCATGCTTAGGCTGAGGGTAGAAGATGGAGGCCCCACCCACTCCCCACCTGGGCTCCCCTGGCGGCCCCAAAATACTCAGTGCATACCTGAGACGAAGGGGAGATCATGCACCTGCTCACTGCAGCAATGCAGGCAAATTATTCAACAGCAAACCTCGTGTGCAATTCCTTTCTGTCCTTTATTTTTTATGTCCACATATCTAGTTTCTCTTTCTGTTTCTGAAGATTTCAAAGCAATGCTGGCATTTATAATTTACACATTTAATTTGTTAGGTAGCGTTATGATGTAAAATAACTGTGCTCTGATTTTCTTTGGGATTAAATTAAATATGTGCATTCATGATGGAGAATAACTTCTCATTAATAATGTCTTTGTATCCAATACATTTAAAATTAAACTTTATACAGTTAGCAGATGCTTGAAGTTGTATTCATAAAAATTGTGGACATTGTGAATTTTAAGCATTGTTTTACTACTTGAATAATTTGAAAGTCTTTGATTCCTTTCTATTTTCTAAAATTAGTTACGTATGGATGAGAAAGCTATTGGTTTGGGTATGCTAATTTTAGTTCCTATTAACTTACCACAGACACACTCCCTTTCAATCCTTTCCGAAATGATCTCTTCTGATTTATTGATAATAATTACATTAACCACAAGAAAATGGAGGACAAACTTGTTTGTTTCTAAATTATATAATACTCTTCTCACTTCAAATATATATGTATGTGTTTATATATACTCACACACTATTATATATCTTATAATATATATTATGTATTATATATTTATATATACACTATTATATATCTTATATATTATGTATTATATATTTATATATACCCACACATTATTATATCTTATAATATATATTATGTATTATATATTTATATATACCCACACATTATTATATCTTATAATATATATTATGTATTATATATTTATATATGCACTATTATATATCTTATATATTATGTATTATATATTTATATTACCCACACATTATTATATCTTATAATATATATTATGTATTATATATTTATATATACACACACTATTATATATCTTATTATATATTATGTATTATATATTTATATATACTATTATATATCTTATAATATATAATGTATTATATATTTATATATACACACACTATTATATATCTTATATATTATGTATTATATATTTATATATACATACTATTATATATCTTATAATATATTATGTATTATATATTTATATATATACACTATTATATATCTTATTATATATTATATATTTATATATGCACACACTATTACATATCTTATTATATATTTATATGTATACACACACTATTATATATCTTATTATATATTATGTACTATATATTTATATATACTATTATATATCTTATAATATATAATGTATTATATATTTATATATACACACACTATTATATATCTTATATATTATGTATTATATATTTATATATACATACTATTATATATCTTATAATATATTATGTATTATATATTTATATATATACACTATTATATATCTTATTATATATTATATATTTATATATGCACACACTATTACATATCTTATTATATATTTATATGTATACACACACTATTATATATCTTATTATATATTATGTACTATATATTTATATATACTATTATATATCTTATAATATATAATGTATTATATATTTATATATACACACACTATTATATATCTTATATATTATGTATTATATATTTATATATACATACTATTATATATCTTATAATATATTATGTATTATATATTTATATATACACACTATTATATATCTTATTATATATTATATATTTATATATGCACACACTATTACATATCTTATTATATATTTATATGTATACACACACTATTATATATCTTATATATTATATATTTATATATACTCACACTATATCTTATAATACATATTATGCATACACATATGCATAATACATATTATCTATACACATATGCATAATACATATTATGTATACACATATGCATAACACATATTATGTATACACACATATTTACACCTATGCATATATGTATGTATGTATGCGAATGTACCTCTGCCACGGCAGGGAAAGGTTCTATCACACAACTACAGAGCAGTTAGGAGAAGTGTAGACACAAAGGAATGCAGCAACTGAGGGACATGTTGGCTTAAGTCTCTTCAACTCCTCACACACCTCCCCCTTTTTTGGTTGATTCTCAGGAGCAGCTGAGACCCTCAGCCCATCGCAAAACAAGACAGACTCCAAGACTGGTGTGTAAGGAGATGCTCTCGGTTATGGGGCTGGCACAGAGGGTCAGGTCCTGTGAAGGGGAGGTGGGTGCCCTGGGTGGACATCCAGGGGTCCCGGGTGATGTTGATCTGCCCTGACCTCTGAGACCTCTTGGTCCACCATCCCCAGCCTCACACCCCCAGGATTACACAGTGGAGAATCTCATCCGCGTGGCTGTGGCTGGCTTGGTCCTGGTGGTCCTCGGGATTCTGCTGCTTTAGGACTGGCACAGCTAGAGAAGTCCCCAAGATGCAGCAAGGAGGTAAATACATGAGAGAACAATGCACCCTTCAGAGTGCCAGAGCCTTGGCAATGAATCTGATAGTCCTAGGAGGTTCTGGAAGAAAGTCTGGACCATCATTCGGGAAACCGTCTACTGAGAAAGTCGAGAAGGGGAGGCTTGGGTCAGGTTCAGGAAGATGTCTGGGTGCCTGTAGAGAACGCTTCCTCCATTAAACTTCCATTAAATGGCAGTGCTTTCAGTCCTGCTGTTGTGGATCCTCCGTGTCTGCCCCTCCCTTCCTTTCGCTCTCTGTGATGTGAAGGCACGTCCCCCATGGTGGGTTTGCATCCACACCCCTGCGATCACGTGCTCTGGTCCACTGTCATGTAATACATTTGTCTTTGTTTCCAACTACCGCATTCTCTAAAGTGAACTATTGATTCTCCATCTTTTCAGTTCTGAGCATAGATCTGGATTAAATAACTGGAATAGGTGGGCAGATTTGTATTTGGGACTTTGAAACATGAGTCTGAGGCCAGGCACAGTGGCTCACACCTGTAATCCCAGCACTTTGGGAGGCTGAGGTGGGCGGATCACTTGAGGTCAGAAGTTCGAGACCAACCTGGCCAACATGGTGAAACCCTGTCTCTACTAAAAGATACAAAAATTAGCTGGGTGTGGCAGTGAGCACCTGTAATCCCAGCTGCTCAGGAAGCTGAGGCGGGAGAATAGCTTGAACCCGGGAGGCGGAGGTTGCAGTGAGCCAAGATCTTGCCACTGCACTCCAGCCTGGGCAACAGAGCAAGACTCCATCTCCAAAAAAAAAAAAAAAAAGGGAAATATGAGTCTGAAATGATGCCCTAGCACCCTCTCTGGACCCTGAATTCCCTTCACTCTTCATCGGATGATACCTGTGTACTTTGTCCAGAAATATCATCTCTCAGAATGAGCACACTAACGCTCGAAGGCTCAGCCTCATGGTATTCTGTTAAACTGGCTCTCTGAAAAAATTATTTTCTTAAGAAAACTCTGAACATATAAAGCCCCAGATTTATGGTATTTGCTGATTAGTGTGGTATAAATACGTCCTTTATGGCCAACTTCAGGGTGCCCATATGACGCCATTGAATGCACAGTTGGGAAGTAGTCAAAAGAATTGTCGTTCACACGAGTATGAACCAGTTGTAAAGTTTATTTAAAGGTTATAATAATTTCTGCTTCATTCTTATGGTGTAGTTTCAGTAAAATTGTAATGTCAAAAATCATAGCACAATGGAGGGAAAAGAAAAAAATAGGCCGGGTGTGGTGGCTCATGCCTGTAATCCCAACACTTTGGGAGGCCGAGGCAGGAGGATCACCTGAGGTCAGGAGTTCGAGACCAGCCTGGCCAACATGGTGAAACGCTGTCTCTACTAAAAATACAAAAATTAGCCAGACATGGTGGCGCCTGCCTGTAATCCCAGCTACTTGGGAGGCCAAGGCACGAGAATCGCATGAACCCAGGAGGCGGAGGTTGCAGTGAGCCGAGATCACTACAGCCTGGGTGATAGAGCAAGACTCAGTCTCAAGAAAAGAAAAAAGTAGCAAAATCATTTTTTGGAAAGAATATTGAACATGTAGAATTTTAGTACATTAATAGTAAGAGTACAAATTGCTTTAATCAATTAAGGAAGTGTATTGGAATTATCTAGTTAAAAAGAGGAGGCACATGGCTGTGACCCTTCTTAATTATGTACTTAATTATGTACCCTAGAGATAAATGTCTACTTATGTGTCATGATACACTCACAACTGTTATAGGAATGCTGTTCCTATTAGCCAAAGCTATAAAATACCAAAGTCCACCTACGAAAAAAATAAACATAGTGTGGTAAATAGACTCAGTGGAATATTACAAGGTAGTAAAATGCATAAATGAAAATAACAAACAGCACCATACTTCAATTTTCAAGCATAAAGTCAAGTAAATGAAGTATTATTTGAAAATGTGTGCATGGTTATTTCATTACATAAAGGTCAAAAGGAGGGTACATTTATTATTTAGGAAAACACACCTAAGATATCTTTGTAAAATCTGTAAAATCAATAGTACTGTTTCCCCTCTTTCATTCCTTATCTTGAAAATGCTTGTCTCTTTTTCTGCCATGGCTTTCTACCTTGCTTGATATATTACAATTTTGTAACCTGCTTATTTCATCATATGTCATAAGTTCACATGTATATCCCATGAATTATTGAGGGTCTTATTCATTTCAAGTGGCATTTAGGTTTTTAAAAATATCTTTTGGCGACCAGGTGCAGTGGCTCATGCCTGTAATCCCAGCACTTTGGGAAGCCAAGGCAGGTGGATCACGAGTTCAAGAGACAGAGATCATCCTGGCGAACATGGTGAAACCCCGTCTCTACTAAAAATACAAAAAAAAAAAAAAAAATAGCTGGGCATGGTAGAGGGTGCCTGTAGTCCCAGCTTCTCAGGAGGCTGAGGCGGGAGAATGGCATGAACCCGAGAGACGGAGGTTGCAGTGAGCCGAGATCGTGCCACTGCACTCCAGCCTGGCAACAGAGTGAGACTCTGTCTCAAAAAAAAAAAAAAAAGAAAGAAAGAAAGGAAGAAAAAAAAATCTTCTGGCATTAACTATTAAGAAATTGCACTATAAAAAGAGAATATAATGCATAAGACGGCAATTTGAAAAGATTCAGATATAATTTTTTCTTATCTAGTAAATACTTAGTAATTTGTCTAATGCATGCCTTAAATACATACCACTTTATGCAGAGGTTGCCATGAGCCGAGATCGCGCCGTTGCACTCTAGCCTGGGTGGCAGAGCAAGACTCCATCTCAAAAAAAAAAAAGAAAATCTCACAGAAGGAGACCCAGAGCTTCCAGCCTCGCCCAGAGTCTTGGCTCACTCCCTGTGTGTGTGGACCCTAGGGAGCCTCTTCTGTTCCCCACAGAGGTGGAAACTTCCTCCTTAATAACCCCTTGATGGTCCCAGGCACTGGTGACCACTGAGCTTTGCTCTCTCTTTTTTCTTATGGTTCCCTGTCTACTTCCAGGGCTATCACTTTACTTTTTGTGCATTAGACCATGAATAATGTTTTAGAAACATTCTATCAAATTTCTCAGTGCTAGGAACAACTGAGGTTTTTGATTGGGTGCCTCAAATGTCTACCCTTACTGTGGAGTCCGACAACAGGATTCTAACAAGTCCCAACCCCTTCATGCCTTAACCTGGTCTGGAAATAAATTATGTTTAAGCCATCCCATACCCCAGCCACATCAAGCCCCACAACCACTCTGAGAAGTGAGATTTATAGCAAAATGCTCCAAACAAGGTAACTAAGGTTCAGACAAGGGATGTTAATGTGTCCATTTACATAAACAAAAAATGGTAGATGATCAGCTTTCCCTTTGAAATCAGAGTACTAATCTGACTCATTGTTCCCTGAATTTTAGAGGCAGGACCTCAGGAGGAGCTAAGAATCCTACCCCAGGAAAATTACCAATATCAGAAAGGAAACAATGACATCAGTACAGATCCTACAGAATTCAAAAGATTCTAAGTGGACATTATGAAGACATTATTCAGCTTAGATGAAGTGGTCACATATCACAAGAAAACAAACTGTCTAAAACAATCTCTGAAATACCTAGACATTCCCTGAATCATTGAGTTATTAAATAAAATACATTTTAAAATTAAACTCTTTTCAGGAAATAAACTTCAATGTCCCCTAGTGCACTCTCCAAAACATGTAGATGGGAATAAATACTGTTCTGAAAGACATTTCCCTGGAATTACAACCATTCAATATATTTTAAAAGGCAATCATAAAAATATAAAAAGGATATATCAGGAGAAGAAATGTAAATGGCCTAAATTCCCCACATAAAAGGCATAGAGTGGCAACGTGGATAAAAAGCCAAGAGCCAACTGCCTGCTGTCTTCAAGAGACCCATCTCACATGTAATGACACCCACAGGCTCAAAGTAAAAGGATGAAGAAATATTTACTAGGCAACCAGGAAACAAAAAAAAGGAAGGCATTCCTATTCTTATATCACATGAAACACACTTTAAATCAACAGCAATCAGGAAGGACAAAGAAGGGCATTACAAAATGATAAAGGGTTCAATTTGACAGAAGACTTAACTATTCTAAATATATATGCACCCAAATTTGGAGCACCCCGATTCATAAAACAAGTTATTCTTCACCTATGAAAAGAGTTAGACAGCCACACAATAATAGTAAGGGACTTCAGTATCCCACTAACAACGTCAGATGAATCACTAAAACAGAAAACTAACAAAGAAATTCTGGTCTTAAAGACAACACTTGACCAATTGGACCTCATAGACATCTACAGAGTACTCCACCCAACAACTGCAGAATATAGATTCTTCTTATCTGCACACACAAAAAACATATCATATTCTAAGACTGGCCACAAAGCAAGTCTCAATAAATTCAAAGAATCAAAATCATAACAAGGCACACAATAAAAATAGAAAAAAATACCAAGATGATCTCTCAAAACTACAGAAAAACATGGAAATTTAACAACTTGTTTCTGAATGAATATTAAGAGCCATCTATGACAAATCCACAGCCAACATCATATTGAATGGTCAAAAGCTGGAACTGTACCCCTTGAGAACTCTTGGGTGAACAATGAAATTAAAGCAGAAATCACAAAACATTATTTAAAATTAATAAAAATAGAAACAAACTTACCAAAACCTTTGGGATGCAGTTAAAGCAGTGATAAGAGGAAAATTTATAGCAATACATGCCTCATCAGAAGTTTAGAAAGATCTCAAATTAGTGACTTAACACTGCATCTAGAGGAACTATTAAAAAAAAGGAACAGTCCAAACCCAAGGCCAGCAAAAGATGAGAAATAACTAAAGTCAGAGAGAACTGAATAAATTGAGACCAAAAAGTCCATACAAGAGATAAATAAAACCAAGAGTTTTTCTTTGAAAAAAAATAAACAAAATTCATAGACTGTTAGCTAGATTAACAAAGAAAAAGAGAAAAGATCCAAATAAACACAAATAGAACTGACAAAACAATGTTACGAACAATCCCACAGAAATAGAAAAGATCGTCAAAGACTATTATGAACACCTCTATACAAACAAGCTAGAAAACCTAGAAGAAATGGATAAATTCCTGGTAACACAAAATTTATCATATTTCAACCAGGAAGAAAGTGAAAACCTGAACAGACCAATAACAAGTTCAGAAATTTAATCAGTAATAAAAACCCTACTAACTAAAAATAGCCCAGGACCAGATGGATTCACAGCCAAAATCCAACAGCCATACAAAGAAGAACTGATACCGATCTTACTGAAACTTTTGGAAAAAATCAAGGAGTGGGGGCTTCTTCCTAACTCATTCTATGAAGCCATCATCACCATGATACCAACATCTGTCAGAGACATAATGAAAAAAAGAAAACTACAACTAAATATCCTTAATGAACATAGACATAAAATCCTCAACAAAATGCTAGCAAATTGAATCTGTCAGTGCATCAAAAGTTAATTCACATGATCAAGTAAGCTTTATTTTTGGGATGCAAGGTTGGTTCAACCTACAAAGTCAACGAATGTGATTCACCTCATAAACATAATTAAAAACAAAAACTATATGATCATCTCAATAGATGCAGAAAAAGCTTTCTGTAAAATCCAACATCCCTTCATGATAAAAACTGTCAATAGGCATCAAAGGAACATACCTCAAAATATTAAGAGCCATCTATGACAAACCCACAGCCAACATCATATTGATGGGCAAAAGCTGGAACCATACCCCTTGAGAACCGAAACAAGACCAGGATGACCACTCCCGCCATTTTAATTCAACATGGTACTGGAAGTCCTAGCCAAAGCAATCAGGCAAGAGAAGGAAATAAAAGGCATTAAAATTGGAAAAGAAGTAGTGATACTGTCTCTCTTTGCTGATGAAATAATTTTATACATAGAAAACCCTAAAGACTCTGTCAGAAGGCTCCTGAAACTGATAAACAAATTCAATAAAGTTTCGGGATTAAAAAAATGTACACAAATTAGTAACATTTCTATGCACCACTAACATTCTAGCTGAGAACTAAATCAAGAACACAATTCCATTTACACTAGCCACAAAGAAAATAAAATACCTAGGAATCCATCTAACCAAGAAGGTGAAAATTCTCTACAAGGAGAACTACAAAACACTTCTGAAAGAAATAAGAAATGATACAAACAAATGGAAGAATATTCCATGCTCATGAATTAGGAGAACAAATAGTTAAAATCGCCATACTTCCAAAAACAAATTGCAGACTCAATGCTATCCATTTCAAAATGCAATGTCATTTTTCACGAAATTATAAAAATTTATTCTAAAATGTATTTGGCACCAAAAAAAGAGCCTGAATACACATAGGAATCCTAAGCACAAAGAACAAAGCCCAGGCATCACATTACCCAACTTCAAACTATACTACAATGCTATAGTAACCCAAACAGCATGATACTACTACAAAAACAGACACATAGACCAATGAGACAGAATAGAGAACCCAGAAATGAGGCTACATACCTACAATCATCTTTGAAAAAATTGACAAAAACAAGCAATGTGGAAAGTACCCTTTCTTCAATAAATAGTTCTGGGATAACTGACTACTCATATGCAAAATAATAGAACTGGACCCCTAACTCTCACTATATACAAAAATTAACCCAAGATAGTTTAAAGATTTAAATGTAAAACCTCAAAATATTAAAATTCTAGAAGAAAACCTAGGAAATATCCTTCTCAAGATAGACTTTGGCAAAGAATTTATGGCTAACTCCCCAAAACCAATTGTGACAAAGACAGAAATTGGGACCTAACTCAACTGAAGAGCTTCTGCACAGCAAACGAAAGTATCAACAGAGTAAACAGATAACCTACAGACTGGGAGAAAATATTTGCAAACTATGCATCTGACAAAGTTCTAATATCCAGAATCTATAAGGAATGTAAACAAATCAACAAGCAGAAAACCAAAAAACCTCAATTAAGTATGACATGAACAGACACTTCTCAAAAGAAGATGTACACATGGCCAAAAAACATATGAACAAATGCTTATTATCAGTAATCATCAGAGAAATGCAAATTAAAACCACAGTGAGATACCATCTCACAACAATCAGAGAAGCAGAAGCAATTACTAAAAAGTTTTTTGTTTTTTTTAATAACAGATGCTGACAAGATTGTGGAGAAAAGGGAACACTTATACACTCTTGGTGGGAATGTTAACTAGTTCAGCCAATGTGATAAGCAGTTTGGAGACTTCTCAAATAACTTAAAATAGAACTACTATTCAATCAAGCAATCCCACTACTGGGTATATACCAAAAGGAAGGTAATTAACTATGTCAAAAAGACACATGCACTAGTATATTCATTGCTGTGCAATTCAGAATAGCAAAGATTTGCAGTCAACCTAAGTGCTCACCAACAGTGGATTAGTTAAAGAAAATGTGCTACATATACACATGGAACATTACATGGCCATAAAAAATAATGAAATCATGTCCTTTGCAGCAACATGAATGTAGCAGGAGGTCAATCTCCTAAGTGAACTAACCCAGGAACAGAAAACCAAATACCACATGTTATCACTTATAACTGAGAACCAAACATTGAATACACATGAACATAAAGATGGAAACAACAGATACCGAGGACTACAGATGGGGGGAGGAGTAGGGAGGTATAGGCTGAAGAAACACCTGTTGGATTCTATGCTCATTGCCTGGGTGATGGCATTGTTGGAACCACAAACCTCAGAGTCACACAATATGCCTATGTAACAAACCTGCATGCATACCTTTAATCTACAGTAAAGGTTGAAGTTATTTAAAAATAGGAAGAAGAATTACCCTATACCTAAAGCTAAGATTTTTCCCTTTGAATATTCGTTTCTTCATCACTGTAGATAAGCAGGGAAAGAAAAATTATTATACTATACTAGCCTTTTATGTGACCATGAGGATTTGGGGTAGGTAGGTGGACAGCTTAGATAATTCACCAGGATATTGATACAGGCTCCATGGCTGGAAATAACCAAGGATGAGTGCTGTGTTTTGAGTGGTCTCCCCCAGAAACGTTTGTTGAAATCCTAACCCCTGGTATGTATGAATGTGAATTCATATTATATAAAAAGGAATAAATAGCCTGAGCACAGTGGCTCACACCTGTAATCCCAGCACTTTGGGAGGCCAAAGCAGGTGGATCATTTGAGGTCAGGAGTTCTGGCCAATATGGCAAAACTTCATCTCTACAAAAAAAAAATACAAAAAAAAAAATTGGCTGGGTATGGTGGCGCATGCCTGTAGTCCCAGCTACTCAGGAGGCTGAGGCAGGAATTGCTGAAACCTGGAAGGCAGAGGTTGCAGTGAGCCAAGATCATGCCACTGCACTCCAGCCTGGGTGAGACGGCAAGATATTCTGTCAAAAATAAATAAATAAAAAACAGAAGAAGAAATACAAGAATGACAGCAAACTTTGTATTCAAAACTATGAAAGTAAGAAATAGGTGGACCAACATTTTTAAAGTGCTACAAGAAAATATTTCAAACTAGAATCTTTCAACCTGAAAAGGAAAACATTTTCCTGCAATAAAGGTGCCATTAAAAATGTCTCACAATTTATTACATGAAGCATTGTTCTACAATAAATGTTAAGCTCTTGAAGCAAAGATTAATGATACCATTTAGTAACTTGAAATTCAAAAAAGTGGAAGTATCCCAAGAGGCAAATACGTGTGCAATTATTAAATGTTTCATATCAACACCCAACCTTATGCTGTCTACATAAGCTGCACTTCAAATACTAATCCACAAGATGTAAATATTGAAAGAATGACATTACATTGTCATGATAATGCCCAGTGCAAAATATGCTTCTAGTCAGTTGTATACATAGAATAGGTAAATGTTTGTAATAAAAAGTATTCCTCAATAGAAGTTTCTTAACTCAAAGAATGAAATATTTCACCATGCACATACAAAGAAGAGATATATGGAGATATGAAGAGGAGTACTTCATAATGACAAAGAGGCAAATTCATAAATAAGACATAATAATCCTAAATGCCTACACACCTAAAGCTGGAACCTCAAAACACATTAAATTAAAGGCATAATTCAAAACATAATCAATCACATCCAAATTGCAGCTAGAGATAGCAACATTCACCTCACTTCCAGAACAAGTACACAGAAAATTATTAAGCATATGAAAGACTTGAAAAACATTTGTGTAGGCGGCGGGTGCATAAGGTTGGGTGTTGATATGAAACATTTAATAATTTCAATAATCCTAGCACTTTGGGAGGCCAAAATGGGAGGATCACTTGAGGCCAGGAGTTTGAGACCAGCCTGGGCACCATAGTGAGACCCCGTCTCTATTTTTTTTAAATAAAGAAAAACATTTGAATGATTTTTTTCTTAACTGACATTTAGAAAACATCCACCTCAAATCTTCCTAATCCACAAACTTGTCTAGCACCCCTGGAACATTCACCAAAATAAATTTTTAAATGCTGAATCATAGGTAATATGATAGATGAAACAGTTGAATTAAATTATAAATGTACAACAAGGAAATGCTGGGGAAATTATCAAATATTTTAAAATTAATAAACACACATAGCAATAAACAATGAGTGGAAGAAAAACATTTCAAAGAAAGGTGGAAAATATTTTGTATCAATTAAAAATGAAAACACATCTCGGCAAATGACTGGGGATACAGATAGAACAGTGTTAAAGGAAAATAAGCCTCAAATGTCTGTGTTAGAAAAGAAGGAAGAGCTGAGTAAATAGGTAACTTTCGCTTGCAGAAATACTACACATCAGCAAATTAATTCCAAAGTAACGTCGAGGAAAAACATAAAATGGCAAGCAAATATATACGTGCATATGTACGTATATTCATAAATGACAAACAGGACAGAAAAATCAGTGACATCAATTTTGTTCCTTAGAAGAAACAGGAAAATTGACCCCAAAAAACTTTCCAGGCCACATTTGGTCATGATGGAAATATTTTGGCACTTCCTGGTTAAGCTCAACACCAACTTGCACCCAAAACCAATAATTTCATTCCTAGGTAAATATGTCTAATTAATTCAGCATATGTATGCAAGGGATCACACAGAAACACGATTATCAAGGCCCGAGTTATAAAAGAGAAAATCCGGAAACAACACAAATGTCCATGATAAAAAGAGTGGATAATTACATGTTGATAAAGTTATGTATGGACTATTAAACTGCAATCCAAAAGAATAAAATAGAACTATAAAATTCAATATGTATATGGTGTCATAGAAACACAAATGTGAGAAAAAGAAAGAAAAATACAAAATTTATATTTTTTAAAATTTGAAACAACTATATATGTGAGTGCTTAGGGTGTGTGTGTGTGTGTGTGTGTATAACCATATGTATATAAACGCACACATACGCACACATATAGAATGTCCCGGCCAGGCATGGTGGCTCACACCTGTAATCTCAGCACTTTGGGAGGCTGAAGTAGACAGATCACTTGAGGTTAGGAGTTCAAGACCAGCCTGGCCAACATGGAGAAACCTCCTCTCTACTAAAAGTACAAAAATTAGGTGGGCGTGATGGTGGGTGCCTGTAAATCCAGCTACTTAGGAGGCTGAGGCACGAGAATTGCGTGAACCTGGGAGGTGGAGGCTGCAATGAGCCGAGGTCTCACCACTGCATTCCAAACTGGGTGACGAAGTGAGATTGCGTCTCAAAAAAAAAAAAAGTTCTAAAAGTTGTGACTTGGGTGTGGCAGATTGTGACATACTGCCAGCTGCTAGAAATGCTGGGGCAGGAGGATTGCTTGAACTCTGAAGTCAAAGAACAGCCTGGGGAAAATAGCACATGAAGAAGAGTTTGAATCTCAGATAAAAACAACAAAAATACATCAAAAGTCTTTAATGTAAGCCAAGCATTCAGTCATCTCCTGTATGAGAGATTGGATCTGAGACGTGTTTTGAGTTGGTTATAGTGAAGGATGCAAGGTGTCAATTCTAGTTGGAACAATTTCCAGGAAGCCATGTTCCGCTCTTGACCAAACAGCCACTGGGCCTCATGCAAGGTAGAAATAGCCTGCATACGTCATCCTCCCATGATGTGGTCAGCATGTAAACTGCATGAGCCCCTCACAACATCCTGTGTGCTGCTGAACTGAGCTGGGGCGCAGCCGCCTGTCTGCACCGGCAGCACCATGTCGCTCATGGTCGTCAGCATGGCGTGTGTTGGTGAGTCCTGGAAGGGAATCGAGGGAGGGAGCGCTGGGGTGGAGATCTGGGCCTGGAGTGGAGATATGGGCCTGGAGTGGAGATATGGGCCTGGAGTGGAGATATAGGCCTGGAGTGGAGATATGGGCTTGGGGTGGAGATATGGGCCTGGAGTGGAGATATGGGCCTGGAACTGTAGATATGGGCCTGAAGTAGAGATATGGGCCTGGAGTAGAGATATGGGCCTGGAACTGTAGATATGGGCCTGGAGTGGAGATATTGGCTTGGAGTGCAGATATGGACCTGGAATTGAGATACGGGCCTGGAGGTGGAGATATGGGCCTAGAGTGGAGATATGGGCCTGGAGGTGGAGATATGGGCCTGGAACTGTAGATATGGGCCTGGAGTAGAGATATGGGCCTGGAGTGGAGATGTTGGCTTGGAGTGCAGATATGGGCCTGGAATGGAGACACGGGCCTGGAGGTGGAGATACAGGCCTGGAGGTGGAGATATGGGCCTGGAGTGTAGATATGGGCCTGGAGTAGAGATATAGGACAGAGGTGGAGATATAGGCCTGGAGTGGAGATATGGGCCTGGAGTAGAGATATAGGACGGAGGTGGAGATATGGGCCTGGAGTGGAGATATGGGCCTGGAGGTGATGTACAGATGGATCATCCATCATGATCTTTCTTTCCAGGGTTCTTCTTGCTGGAGGGGCCCTGGCCACATGTAGGTGAGTCCTTCCCCCAAACCTTAGGTTGTCATCTCCCCACATAAGATGATGTTCCTGAAACGGGAGGCAGGCGACACAGGGGGTTGACTGATGGGCTGACCATGGGAAGCCATGTGGGAATCTCTCATGAACTAGGAAAAGGAAGCCAGGGGAAGCTTCGCCACAGTTCTGTCCTAGCCCTCCCCGGCCTTTCTTTCCCTTGGCTGAGTCTGTGGGGACCCAGGGGGAGACTGAAGTGCTCAAAGGAGTGGTGTGCAGGGAGGAAGTGGTGTCACCGGCAGAGGAAGGGAGAGAAGCAGTGCAAGGAACAACAGGCCTCTGAGGACAAGAGCATAACTCACACCCTCCAGCGTTTCCATGACGGTAGGGGCTGCAATGTGGCTGCTGTCATTCTACCTAAGAGGTGGGGGAACCACAGTCATGACCCTGACATTCCAGATCTTCTAATAGGGGCTCAGTTGTTTATTATGGTTCATGCATTAGCTGATCATGCCCTCCATCCTGTGTCTACCTTGTGTTCTTTTATGTAAGTAATTTTGCAGTGTTAAAATCTAGTAAGAGTCGCTTCTTCAGCACCTGCTCAAAGTTCTCAGCTGACACTTGCTGTAGGGAGACGCCATGTCTATGCGGGATGGGTCCTTCCTGTAGCCCTGGGCACCCAGGTGTGGTAGGAGCCTTAGAAACGTGGAAATGGGAGAATCTTCTGAGCACAGGGAGGGAGGGGCGGCTCCACATCCTCCTCTCTAAGGTAGTGCCTCCTTCTCCCCCAGGTGGTCAGGACAAGCCCTTCCTCTCTGCCTGGCCCGGCACTGTGGTGTCTGAAGGACAACATGTGACTCTTCAGTGTCGCTCTCGTCTTGGGTTTAACGAATTCAGTCTGTCCAAAGAAGACGGGATGCCTGTCCCTGAGCTCTACAACAGAATATTCCGGAACAGCTTTCTCATGGGCCCTGTGACCCCAGCACATGCAGGGACCTACAGATGTTGCAGTTCACACCCACACTCCCCCACTGGGTGGTCGGCACCCAGCAACCCTGTGGTGATCATGGTCACAGGTCAGAGGCTTTCTGTCTGGGCTTCTCACTGTCCCACCTCCTGAATCCCAGAGCTTCTGGTGGGGGCGTCCATCAGGGTCCAATCATCCAGGCCCAGACTGTATTTGGGGTAAAGGGGGATTCAGTACAGAGAAATAGTTGCTGTGGTGGGAAGAATAATTGTCCCCAGTGATGGCTACATGGTAATCCATGAACCCTGTGACTATTTATGTCATAGGGCAGGGGACTGAAGGGGAAGATGGAGCTCAGGTTGTTGATGAGTTGACCTTGCGATGGGGAGACAGCCTGGACTGTCCTGCTGTGCTCAGAGTAATCACAAGGGTCCTCATGAGAGGAGGAGGAAGAGGAAAGTGGGGTTAGAGCAACGTCGTGGGAGGGAGACTCCATCAGCCACAGCGGGCTTTGAAGATGGGGGAAGGCCATGAGCCACAAAGGCAGTTGGCCTCTAAGGGCTGGAGAAGTCAAGGGAACTGATTCTTCCCTGAGTCTCCAGAGGAAACACAGCCCTGTAGATGCCTTGATTTTAGCCCAGAGAGAACTGGGTCCGATTTCTGTTCTCCAGAAGTGGAAGGGGTCATTGTATTCTCTCCTGCCCCATGTTTGTGACAATTTTCTCCAGCAGCAACAGGAAACCAACACAGGAACCCAGGTGAAGCACAAGTTAAGAAACCAAACAAGGAGAAGGTTGGCTACACTGATTTTAGCATGGGTGGGATACTGATGCTACCACCAGGCTCGATCCACATAGGGAGGGGTTGATGCTCCTGGAACCAGCACCAGGGGCCACCCTATGGAAGCTGGGGCCATGGAGAAGGCACAGACATGACAGGAGAGGCTCCCAATCCCCATCAGGAACAGGGACACTGATGCCTGCCTTACTGATGAGTTCGTACCTCCTGCCAGCCTTTCCAATCTGTCCAAAAGAGATTGATTCAGGCTGCTAAGAGCCTGGACATGCAGCCTGTCGTGGTTCCTCTTCCACCCCTACATAAACACCAGGAAAGAGATTAGTGGGAAACAGATACAACAGCCTAAGAGGTGACACTGAGCACAGTGGGAAGGGAATCAGGGCTACTAGAGACAGAGAGACAGGGAAGAGGGAGGGAGACAGATGGAGGGACCTGCAACAGGGGTTATGGGCACAAAAGAACACGGAGACACAGAGAGGAAGGAGAGAGATAGACACCATGGAGGGGAAGCCTCACTTATTTCAGGTCCCATGAATGGGATGAGAAAGGGAGACACCTTCTGAACTCACAACCTCTCTTCTTAGGAGTCCACAGAAAACCTTCCCTCCTGGCCCACCCAGGTCCCCTGGTGAAATCGGGAGAGACGGTCATCCTGCAATGTTGGTCAGATGTCAGGTTTGAGCGCTTCCTTCTGCACAGAGAGGGGATCACTGAGGACCCCTTGCGCCTCGTTGGACAGCTCCACGATGCGGGTTCCCAGGTCAACTATTCCATGGGTCCCATGACACCTGCCCTTGCAGGGACCTACAGATGCTTTGGTTCTGTCACTCACTTACCCTATGAGTTGTCGGCTCCCAGTGACCCTCTGGACATCGTGGTCGTAGGTGAGAGAATACAGACCTGCCTCTCACCCTTGCTGGGAGATGGAGTGAATGATCTAGGACTGGAAGCCCCAGGTGGTCATGAGGAAGATGAGTGTGGGGTTCCTATGGAGAGAAAGTGACTTGGTGAGGTCTGTACCAACAAAGGCAGAGAAACAGGAGACACAAGTACAGACCTCATGTCATAACATAGAAGCCAGACACAGGGGCCATACAAGGTGTTAGAAAAAGAGATAAAGAGGTAAAGAAGACACAGAGAGACAGATATATCCCAGAGAGAGGTGTCCTTCTATGCTGACTTTGTTCAGAGACCAGGCACAGGTTAGAAGGTTCCATTCTGTTTTACCTCTACAAAGTGTTCTCTCCCAGGAGAACCCAAAGAGACACATCTATCTGGCCTGAGTTGGGCCGTGTGGCCCCAGGCTGGTGGCACCTACAGATGCTGTGTTTATTCTTAAACCTCTGCCTTCCGTGCAGTGGAGCTGTCATCGTCCCAGGACACCATGGCCCCAGGTGAGGGAGCAGAACACCAACCCCTGTATGTTGTGAGTTCCTGGAGTCCCCATACTGGATTCTGAGGCTCATATTCAAATAGCACCACATGTTATAGGATTACTGAGAACAAAAGCCCACAGAGAGACACGGAGTGAAATCAGGGAAATCAAAAAGCAAAGACATGAACACACACACAGAATGAGCCAGAAGAAGGGAATTGAGAGACTCACAGACACATAAAGAGACAGAAAAAGAGGGCAGAGAAGTGGAGCGTATGATGGAAGGAAGCAGAGAAAAGCCCTAAAATCAGAGCCCTGAGGGAGGGGCACAAAGACAGGGAAAGATAAAGATGTGGGGATGGATTGCAGAGACTCCAAAAGGGAACTAGAGAGACTGAGAGGCAGAGAAAGACAAGGAGATGGAGAGAGACAGATGATAGATGGATAGATAGATATAGATAGATGAAAGATAAAAGGTATATGATAGATAATAGAGAGACAGGTGATAGACAAATAGATGATGAATGACTGATAGATGATATAGATAGACAAGTAGAAAGACAGACAGATGATATATAAATAGATATAGAGAGATAGAAAGACAGATAAACACATGATGATAGATGGATAGATGCATACATACATACATTGATTGATAGATGATAGATAACAGAGAGATAGGTCATAGATACACAGATGATGATAGATGATAGATACATACATAGATAAATGATAGATCGATCAATAGATAGTAGATAGAAATATGCAGAAAGTTATGAGCAAGACAGAAAGTGAGAGACTCAGAATTAAAGAAAGAGGAAGATCAAGTCAACCAGTCCAAGGAGGGTCAGAGAGAATAAAATGGTACAAAAAAAGAAAACATAGCTAGGGATGGAGAAGTGAGGTCAGAGACCTAGAGAGACAGAGAAGGTGGAAGGAGGAAATAGACATGAAGAGAGATGGGGGTGGAGGGTGAGAGAGAGAAAGAGAGCATTAAGTCATAGAGCAGGGGAGTGAGTTCTCAGCTCAGGTGTGAGGAGAGCTGTGACAAGGAAGAACCTCCCTGAGGAAACCACCTCTTCTTCTTCCAGGTCTATATGGGAAACCTTCTCTCTCAGCCCAGCCGGGCCCCACGGTTCAGGCAGGAGAGAATGTGACCTTGTCCTGCAGCTCCCGGAGCTTGTTTGACATTTACCATCTATCCAGGGAGGCAGAGGCCGGTGAACTTAGGCTCACTGCGGTGCTGAGGGTCAATGGAACATTCCAGGCCAACTTCCCTCTGGGCCCTGTGACCCACGGAGGGACCTACAGATGCTTCGGCTCTTTCCGTGCCCTGCCCCACGCGTGGTCAGACCCGAGTGACCCACTGCCCGTTTCTGTCACAGGTGAGAAAACACCATGCCTGTCCCATGTCTTGTGATCCTAGAGCCATAGCTGAGGAGCTTCCTGCTGATGATGGAGAGAAGCATGGACAGATGCCGAGACAGAACACACAGCATGGGTGTAAGGGTGGGGTCAGGGCGCAGGATGGCAGACAGGGCACCTCCAAACCCTCCTGTATGGCCTGCAAGGAGGCCCTTGATCAGGGTTCCAGGCACCCAGGCAGATGGAGAAAGAGGTCAGAACAGACCCAGAGGAGGGAGACTGGGCTCTGCCTGGGGAGATCAGAGGTTCTCTCAGCCCCTCAACCTTACCCACTTCCCAGAAGCCCATCCTGGCCTGTCACCCACAGAGAGATGTCATCACCAGCAACGCCTACACCCTTTTCTTTTTGTTTGAAGAAATATTTATTGAGGTGAAATATACCTATGTAATTTACCACCTTTACCATTTTTAAGTGTGAAGTCTACTGTTCATAAATACATTTATAGGCTGGGCACGGTGGCTCACGGTTGTAATCCCAACACTTTGAGAGGCCAAGGCAGGTGGATCATTTGAGATCAGGGGCTCAAGACCACCCTGGCCAACATGGGGAAAATCCATCTGTACTAAAAATACAAAATAATAATAATAATGATAATAATTAGCCGAGCATGGTGGCACATGCCTGTAGTCCCAGCTACTTGGGAGGGTTGGGCAGGAGTTGCACTTAATTGCAGGAGGCGGAGGTTGCAGTGAGCTGAGATCATGCCACTGCACTGCAGCCTGGGCAACAGAGAGAGACACTCTCTCAAAATTAATTAATTAATTAATTAGTATTCTTTTTTTTTTACCCTCCACCCTTCCCTTCCTGGCCTCTGGTAGCCACCATTCTACTCTCTACCTTTGTGAGATCCACCTTTTAGCTCCTGCATATGAGTGAGAAATGGAAATACTTGTAATGACCTCCAGTTCCATTCATGTGGCTGTAAATGACAGGATGTTACTCTTTCTATGGATGAGTTGTCCCTATTGTGTGTGTGTACCACATTCTCTCCATCCATTCACCCACTGATGGGCGGGTAGGTTGATCCACATCTTGGCTACTGTGAACACTGCTGGAACAGTCATGGGAGTGCAGATGTCACTTCGATACGCTGATGTCCTTTCCTTTGGGTTTACACCCAGTCATGGAATTGCTAGATCCTCTGGAAGTGTCTTTTTACATTTTGTTTTATGGTTTTTGTTTTTGTTTTTGTTTTTTTTAGACAGTTTCACTCTTGTTGCCCAGGCTGGAGTGCAGTGGTGCCATCTGGGCTCACTGCAACCTCCACCTCCAGGATTCAAGAGATTCCCCAGCCTCAGCCTCCCAAGTAGCTGGGTTACTGGCTCCCACCACCACACTCGGCTAATTTTTATATTTTTAGTAGAGACAGAGTTTCGCTATATTGGCCAGGCTGCTCTTCAACTCCTGACCTCAAGTGACCTACCCACCTCGGCCTCCCAATGTGCTGGGATTACAGGCATGAACCACTGTGCCCGACCTCATTTTATTTTTTGAGGAACTTCCATACTCTTCTCCTCTGTAATGGCTGTACTAATTTACATTCGTATCAGCAGTGTACCAGATGCAACCCTGGTTGACTCAGCAGAGCAAGAGACGTGCAGTAAGAGAGAATTTAGCTTATTTATGCACACGACACTTCCACTCACTCACTCGTTCAGCCAATGCCCCATGCTCTGGCTGTGCAGTGTGGAATCTTTTCCTATTGTTGCCATAACAAATTTCCACAAGCTTCGTGGATGAAAACATGTTTTTCTTAATTATCTCACAGTGCTGTAACTCAGAAGTATGAACTGCATTTCACTGGGCTGATATCAAAGGGAGAGTAAGGCTGGATTTCTTTTTAAGGTTCCAAGCAAGAATCTGCTCCTTAACGTTTCCCAGCTCCTAGAGGCTCCCACGTTCCTGGGCCCCTGGTCCCCTTCCTCCTTCCTCCTTCCTCAAAGCCCACAAAGGCTGGTCACGTCTCACATGGCATCATTCAGACTCTTCTTCTTTACCCATACCTTTTTCTCTGAATCCTGCTCTGCCTTCTTCCTCATCTTTTAAGGACTTTGGGATTCTATTGGGGTCACCAAGATAATCCATCTCAATCTCCCTAAAATCATCCAGCGTACCCTCTTTTTAAGTTCAGCTGATTAGCAACCGTAATGCCATCTGCAATCTTCATTCCTCCTTTCCTGTAAAATAACATATTCACAAGCTATGGAGGCTAAGACAGGGACATTTTGGGGGTGGGGCAGCATTCTCCTGCCTTCCACAAATGGTAAACAGGATGCATTTGGCCTCTGCTCTTGGGACGCTGATATTGCAGATGGGTAAATGCGAGGGCAGAGAATGAATGCACAAGGGTACCAATAAATGAATGATCCATTGGGAAGCATCTGTGCACCAAATCTGGGGTTTTTTGTGTGTGTGTGTGTGTTTTGTTTTCTTTTTTTTTTTTGAGTAGAGTCTCTCTCTGTTCCACAGGCTGGAGTGCAGTAGCACAATCTCAGCTCATTGCAACCTCTGCCTCCTGGGTTCATGCAATTCTCCTGCCTCAGCCTACCGAGTAGCTGGGATTACAGCTGTGCGCCACCACACTCGGCTAATTTTTTTGGTATATTTTTTAGTAGAAATGAGGTTTCACCATGTTGTGCAGGCTGTCTCAAACTCCCAATCTCAAGTGATCCCACCGCCTTAGCGTCCCTAAGTGCAAAGATTACAGGCGAGAGCTACTGCGCCCAGCCAGGATTTAAAATAAGTAATAGATAATGCTGAGTATATAATTTCAGGTGACAGAGAAGGTCTCACTGATCAGATAATATTTGTGACCTTAATGGAAAAAATGGATTCAACCCTTGGAAGATTGGCGGAAGGATTTTCCACACTGAGCTCTCAGCCGTGAAGGCACAAAGGTGGAAACATTCTTAGTTCAAGGAAGAGGCTCTGCCTCAAATGCTGGGAATGAAGTGGGGAGAATGACAAGACAACTGTAGAGAGATGGAGAGCACACTGGGTACACAGGAAACTAAGGAGGAACAAGGAGCGTGTGTTTGATACTCACAGCCATTGGATTCAACTCAGAGCTAACTAGGAATCCCTACCTGATTAACAGTGACCGACATGAAAATAAGGGAGGCCCAGGTGCGTAACTGGAATCTAGGAGACCGTGGAAAAGGCAATTCCCGCCCCACTGGTGAAACGTAGGGTTGATTTACACACTAAATGAATGAAAGATGGATATAAGCTATGCTTGTGAGGTAGAATCATTTGCAGGGAGGGCTTGCTGGGTTTGATTTTTCCTAGTAGTTTAATCCTTGTTTCATTAATTTCTTTCTGAGATGTGTTTTTTTTCTACATCTAAATCAATACCTGGCAGAGGAGCGATAGACACATGAGGGGTGGTGCAAATGAAGGGACCTAGTATAATATAATATACAAGACTGTGGATGGGGGCTCACACCTGTAACCCAACACTTTGGGAGGCCAAGGCGGGTAGATCACTTAAGGGTAGGAGTTTGAGACCAGCCTGGCCAACATGGTGAAACCCCGTCTGTACTAAAAATACAAAAATTAGCCTGGTGCATTGGCACCTGCCTGTAATCCCAGCGACTGGGGAGGCTGAAGCAGAAGAATGGCTTCAACCCTGGAGGCAGAGGTTGAACTGAGATCGCATCACTGCACTCCAGCCTGACACAGGGGGACTCTGTCTCAAAAAATAAAAATAAAACATACATAATTATGACACACAGAAATTACAAAGGCAACTGGATACCAACCATCATTTTTCTATTTCTCTGTGTTTAATTCTTTGACCCTTTATCTTATCCATTAAACAATCAGGTTAAACCTCTTCCTTATTTGGCTTTCTGTGAGCTTGGGATCATATGGAAAATGTGAAAGCCTCCTGAACCCACCAGCACAGGTCCTGGAATAGAGAACGTGCTCTGTTCATGGCATAAAACTTGCCCCTTCACCCAAATCCCCCAATTCATCTCTACTTCCAATCACCTATGGAGATACAGATAGATCATGGGGAGGTAAACACTAATACTCTTTGGAGTGAGCTCAGATCTTGGACTCAGAGACCAGTGCCAGCACTAGCCCCTGGTCACATTTCGTACTAACTCACAGAAGGACAGGCTGTATTGAAACAATAAACGACGGAGAGGGCGGTCCTTCCCCGTGCTTCTCGGGTGGAATAGCAGCCTAATATATGTCTCAGCAGATCACAAAAAGTAGCATGTTGTTCCTGGGCTACATCATTATTTCATGGCTGTTTGATTTAAGTCAGTTCTACTTCACTTTTTTTATCTTGATTTCATTTTTTCTTTCTTTTCTTGGAGAATGTAATTTTTTTGAGTCAAGAGGGTTGTGGTGGTAGAAACTGTAAAGCACATTCGCTGTGTATCAATCCCAATCCAGTCTTCCCAGAGAAGACTCTAAACACCTCCTGGAATGTACCTGGGCCTATACCAATTCCTATCACTCACCGTCACTCCAGGGAGACAGAACACACAGAGAACACATTACACAGGCAGGTTCATTACTAACAGATAAGCAGCGAGTGACAACAGAAGCCTACATTTCAATGTGAGCCAGTCCCTCAAGGCTCAGAAAAGCTGCTCGAGACATGTGGAGTCACCCCATATGCAGTGTATCTGGGGGAAATCAAAAAGCAGCCCAGCCTGGGTTTTGTACCCTGGAGCCACAGGAAGCACTCAGCTAAAGCACTGCATGACGTCCTCCTCCAGGAAGAACAGGAAGACAGCCCAGGCTGTTCTGGGATGTTCCTCCTGATCTCAGGACTTTGCTGTCTTAGTCCATTTTTGTTGCTCTAAAGGAACACTTGAGCCTGGGTAACTTCTAAAGAAAAGAAATGTGTTTGCCTCACAGTTCTGCAGGCTGTACTGGAAGCATGGCACCAGCATCTATTTCTTGTGACGGCCTCAGGCTGCTCCCGCTCTGGCAGAAGGGAAGGAGGGTCTATCTGTGCAGAGACCACAGAGATCACACGGCAAGAGAGGGAGCAAGGGGGAGGGGGAGCGATGGAGCTTCCAAGTTCTTTTTAACAACCAGCTCTCCAGGAACTAATAGAGGGGGAACTTGCTAACCCCATCTCCTTGGGACAGCATTGATCTGTTCATGATGGATCCACCTCCATGACCCAAACACCTCCCAAGAGGCCCAACCTCCCACCCTGGGGGTTACATTTCAATGTGAGGTTTGAAGTGGTCAAACATCTAAACTAAAGCAGTTGTATCCTCAGCACGTTCTATGGTTACTACAACTGAGAAAGCAGGAGGAAGCTAGGTCTCCCGCCATCTGGGTGCTTGTCCTAAAGAGACGTTGTATGTGGTTACCTGTCAATCAAGAAATGTGAGACAATTCATATAGAGGAACTGCTATGATTAGCTTCTTATTGGTGTCTTGTCTTCCTCCAGGTAACTCCAGATACCTGCACGCTCTGATTGGGACCTCAGTGGTCATCATCCCCTTTGCTATCCTCCTCTTCTTTCTCCTTCATCGCTGGTGTGCCAACAAAAAGAGTAAGTCTCACGAAGCAGAAGCCAGAGAGCTCAGGGCCATGTGGGGAAGCAGGATGGGAGCACTCAGGTGTGTGTTCCTTACAGGCAGGATGGTCCCTGACCCAAGGCAGGAGCCACAGAGGCAGGACTTTCTAGAGAGAGCACCAGACTCCCTGCCCCTGCCTTCAGCTCACAGACCATTGCCTGATTCTGAACCATATCCTCACATCCCCTGCAGCCACTCACATCCAGGAGAAGGTTCCATGACAGGCAGAAAGTGGGAGACAGAATCAATGGGATGGGAACTCAGAGCTATTCATGGGATGGGTCCTTGAGCTCAGAGAGATAGAATGTCTGAGTCTGCTGTTGGCAACTGAGGGACCTCAGGCACCTATGGCCTCCCCCTGCATGTTGGTATCTGCTTATGAAATGAGGACCCAGAAGTGCCCTCCGAGCTGTTTTGACGACTTCCGTCTTCTACAGATGCTGTTGTAATGGACCAAGAGCCTGCAGGGAACAGAACAGTGAACAGGGAGGTAGGTGCTCCTCAGCCCAGCCTCATGGCTAGTCTTATTCCCAAAGAGTCCTGAAAAATGTGAGCACCCTCCCTCACTCAGCATTTCCCTCCCTCCAGGACTCTGATGAACAAGACCCTCAGGAGGTGACATACGCACAGTTGAATCACTGCGTTTTCACACAGAGAAAAATCACTCGCCCTTCTCAGAGGCCCAAGACACCCCCAACAGATACCAGCGTGTAACACGGAACTTCCAAATGCTGAGCGCAGATCCAAAGTTGTCTTCTGTCCACCAGCACCACAGTCAGGCCTTGATGGGATCTTCTAGGGAGACAATAGCCCTGTCTCAAAACCGGGTTGCCAGCTCCCATGTACCAGCAGCTGGAATCTGAAGGCGTGAGTCTGCATCTTAGGGCATCGCTCTTCCTCACACCACGAATCTGAACATGCCTCTCTCTTGCTTACAAATGTCTAAGGTCCCCACTGCCTGCTGGAGAGAAAACACACTCCTTTGCTTAGCCCACAATTCTCCATTTCACTTGACCCCTGCCCACCTCTCCAACCTAACTGGCTTACTTCCTAGTCTACTTGAGGCTGCGATCACACTGAGGAACTCACAATTCCAAACATATAAGAGGCTCCCTCTTAACACGGCACTTAGATACATGCTATTCCACCTTTCCTCATGTTGTTCCACCTTTCCTCAGAGTATCTTTCAGCCTTCTGTCAGCAGTAAAACTTATAAATTTTTTTTATAATTTCAATGTAGTTTTCTATTCTTCAAGTAAACATGTCTGCCCTCATGGTTTCGTCAATGGGACTCTTTTCTTGCCTAAGGCTTCCGGTGTTATCATTACCACGTCCACATAACCCCATCTGTTCTCCGCTGGGTTCTCACCCCTGGACTCTGAGCTTCTGGAAGCAGGGTGGAGCCTGAATTGTCTCTGAGACTCCAGTTTCCATCCAAAGATGCAGCACATAGGAGGTTCCAAGGATGGTGAATCAGATGAACAAGTGATATTCTTACTCTCTGCAGATCTGGAAAGCTGGCAGAGTCATTCCACGATGAAACATTTGTAGAGTCATAGGCCTTGTTAGTCTCATCTCCACAGGGACACGTATCAACACATCATCTTTCATACTACTATAAATAGACAGTCACTCCTCCATATCTCTGGGGTTTACACATGTTTATTGAATCAGCAATAAATCAAAAATATTTTGAGAAAAAAAATCCCCGAAGTTTCAAAAAGCAAAAAACTATGTTGAATCGACACAAATTGAGTGGCGTGTAGGCTGTGTCAGGAATTATAAGTAATCAAGAGATGATTTCATGTATACAGGAGGATGTGCATGGGTTCTATGCAATTGCTATGCTATTTTTTTTTTTGAGACAGTCTCACTCTCTCACCCAGGCTGGAGTGCAGTGGCGTGATCTCAACTCACTGCAACCTCCGCCTTCCAGGTTCAAGCGATTCTCTTCCCTCAGCCTCCTCAGTAGCCTCCCCTAGGATTACAGGCACGTGCCACCCTGCACAGATAAATTTTTTTGTGTGTGTATTTTTAGTAGAGACGGGGTTTCAGAATGTTGGACCAGCTGGTCTTGAACTCCTGACCTTGTGATCTACCCAGCTCAGCCTCCCAAAGTGCTGGGATTACGGGCGTGAGCCACGGTGCCCAGCTTCACTATGCCATTTCATGCAAGGGGCTTGAGCATCTGCAGATTTTGGTATCTGAATGGGGATCCTGGAACCAATCACCCAGGTATAGTGAAGGACCATGGTATATAATTTTTATTTGTCAATCTTAAAAATAAAGCATAAAAAATTTACAACAACAAGATAAAAAATAAGAAGTGTTTTTATAGTGTGAGGATAAGTTTAGATTTATTTTTTCCTACGTGTAACCCTATGGTCCTGTGTTATTTGTTGAGAAAATATTCTATTCCACCTTAAACTACATGGCAGCCTTTGTCAACTATAAAGGGACTGTGTATCCACAGATGTATTTTAGACACAGTTTTCTGTCCAGTGGTTCTCTGTATCCCCTCTCATGAGGATGCTGCATTTTATATAAACTTATAGAACCCCTTAAAATTTGGTAACCTGAGTCCTCTGATTTGTTATTATAGGTTATTTAGTTTGCTTTTTTTTTTTCTTGAGACAGACTCTTCCTCTGTCACCCAAGCTGGAGTTCAGTGGCTTGAGCTCAGCTCACTGCAACCTCCGCCTCCCAGGTTCAAGCTATTCTGATGCCTCTGGTTTAGTACTAGAAACTCAAGCAGGAAAATTAGAATGGCTTCTTGTCACAATTACTCTGATAATGTTAATAATACCTGTTAGACATTTTGCACATTACATATGAAGAAGAGTTTGAATCTCAGATAAAAACAAAAATACATCAAAAATCTTTAATGTAAGCACAGAATTCAATCATCTCGTGTATGAGAGGTTGGATCTGAGACGTGTTTTGAGTTGGTCATAGTGAAGGACGCTAGGTGTAAATTCTAGTGAGAACAATTTCCAGGAAGCCATGTTCCGCTCTTGAGCGAGCACCCACTGGGCCTCATGCAAGGTAGAAAGAGCCTGCGTACGTCACCCTCCCATGATGTGGTCAACATGTAAACTGCATGGGCAGGGCGCCAAATAACATCCTGTGCGCTGCTGAGCTGAGCTGGGGCGCGGCCGCCTGTCTGCACAGACAGCACCATGTCGCTCATGGTCGTCAGCATGGCGTGTGTTGGTGAGTCCTGGAAGGGAATCGAGGGAGGGAGTGCGGGGATGGAGATCGGGGCCCAGAGTTGGAGATATAGGCCTGGAAGTGGAGTTATGGGCCTAGAGATGGAGTGATGGGCCTAGAAGTGGAGATCTGGGCCTGGAGTGGAGATATGGGCCTGGAGGTTGAGATATGGGCCTGCAGTAGAGATATGGGCTTGTAGTGGAGACATGGGCCTGGAGATGGAGATATGGGCCTGGAGATGGAGATATGGGCCTGCAGTAGAGATATGGGCCTGGAGTGGAGATATGGGCCTGGAGTGGAGATATGGATCTGGAGGTGGAGATACGGGCCTGCAGTAGAGATATGGGCCTGGAGTGGAGATATGGGCCAGGAGTGGAGTTATGGGCCTAGAGGTGGATATCTGGGCCTGGAGTGGAGATATGGGCCTAGGAAGGAGATATGGGCCTGGGTGTGGAGATATGGGACTGGAGAGGTGATATGGGCCTGGAGTGGAGATATGGGCTTAGGGTGGAGATCTGGGCCTGGGGCAGAGATATGGGACTGGATTGGAGATATGGGCCTAGGGTGGAAATATCAGCCTGGAGTGGAGATATGGGCTTGTGGTGGGGATCTGGGCCTGGAAACTGGGTCTCTGCACAGCCGACAGCCCTGTTCTTGGGTGCAGGTAGGCACTGAGGGTGAGTTTAACTTCAGCCCAGGAAGGGCCTGGCTGCCAAGACTCACAGCCCAGTGGGGGCAGCAAGGGAGTCCTGGTTTGCCTGCAGATGGATGGTCCATCATGATCTTTCTTTCCAGGGTTCTTCTTGCTGCAGGGGGCCTGGCCACATGAGGGTGAGTCCTTCTCCAAACCTTCGGTTGTCATCTCCCCACATAAGAGGATTTTCCTGAAACAGGAGGGAAGTCCTGTCAGGGAGTCTCTCATAAACTGGGAAGAGAGGACCCTGGGGTGCTCGGCCCACATTTCTGACCTTGCCTCCCTGGCCTCTCAACCCCTTGGCAGAGTCAAGTTCTGTGGGGACCAGGGTTAGACTGGGGTGCTCAAAGCTGGGGTGTGTGGTGGGGAAGTGGTAGGAACAGCAGATCCTCTGAGGACAAAGGTGTTACTCACACACTTCAGCGTTTCCATGATGGTAGGGGCTGCAGTGTGGCTGCTGTCATTCTACCAGAAGAGGTGGGAAACCACAGCCATGGCCCTGACATTCCAAATCCTCTGATGGGGGCTCAGTTGTTTATTTTCGTTCAGGCATCCGCTGATATCCACTCACAAAGGACATGCCCTCCACCTCATGTCTACCCTGTGTTGTTTTATGTGAGTAATCTTACAGTATTAAAATCTAGTAGGAGTCTCTTTACTCAGCACTTGCTCAAAGTTCTCAGCTGAGGCTTTTGTTGTAGGGAGACACCATGTCTTTGCGGGATGGGTCCTTCCTTCAGCCCTGGGCACCAAGGTGTGATAGTAGCCATAGAAACGTGGAAAGCGAGGAGAATCTTCTGAGCACAGGGAGGGAGGGGCAGTTCCACATCCTCCTCTCTAAGGCGGCGCCTCCTTCTCCCCAAGGTGGTCAGGACAAGCCCTTGCTGTCTGCCTGGCCCAGCCTTGTGGTGCCTCTAGGACATGTCATTCTTCGGTGTCACTCTTATCTTGGGTTTAACAACTTCAGTCTGTACAAGGAAGGTGGGGTGCCTGTCCCTGAGCTCTACAACAGAATATTCTGGAACAGCCTTTTCATGGGCCCTGTGACCCCCGCACAACAGGGACATACAGATGTCGGGGTTCACACACACACTCCCCCAGTGGGTGGTCAGCACCCAGCAACCCCCTGGTGATCGTGGTCATAGGTCAGAGGGCTCCTGTCTTGGATTCTCCTTGTCCCACCTCCTGAATCCCAGAGCTTCTGGTGGGCATGTCCTTGAGGGTCCCATCACGCAGGCCCTGACTGTATTTGTGGTAAAGGGGGATTGAATACAGGGAAATGGGTGCTGTGGTGGGAAGAATAATTGTCCCCAGTGATGACTACATTCTAATCCCTGGAGTCTGTGACTATGTATGTTATAGGGGAAGGGACTGAAGGGGAAGATGGAGCTCATGGGGAGACAGCCTGGACTGTCCCACTGGGCTCAGTGTAATCACAAGGGTGCACATGAAAGGAGGAGGAAGAGGGGAGTGGGGATTAGAGCAGTCCAGTGGAAGTCTTCACCAGCTTTGAAGGTGGAGGAAGGCCAAGAGCCATGAATGCAGGTGGCCTATAGAGGCTGGAAAAGTCAAGGAACTGATTCTCCAGAGTCTCCAGAGGAAACGAAGCCCTGCAGATGCCTTGATTTTAGCCCAGGAAAAATAGGGTCCAATTTCTGTCTCCAGTACTGGAAGGTGTCAGTGTGGTCTCTCCTGCTTCCATGCTTCTGATAATTTTGTACAGCAGCAACAGGAAACCAACACTGGAACCCAGGTCAAGGACAAGTTAAGAAACAACCCAAGGAAAGCCAGGCATGGTGGCAGGCGCATGTAATCCTAGCGACTCAGGAGGCTGAGGGCAGGAGAATCACTTGAACCCAGGAAACAGAGGTTGCAGTGAGCCTAGACCACACCACTTCACTCCAGCCTGGGTGAAGGAGTGAGACTCTGTCTCCAAAATTAATTAATTAATTAAAGAAACCAAACAAGGAGAAGGTTGGCTACCCTGAGATCAGCAAGGGTGGGATGATGATGCCACCACCAGGCTCCATCCACATAGGGAGGGGTTGATACTCCTCCAACCAGCACCAGGAGCCAGCCTATGGAAGCTGGCACCATGGAGAAGGCACAGGCATGGCAAGAGTGGCTCCCAGTCCCGACCAGGAACAGGGTGTGTGGACACTGGTGCCTGCCTTATTCATCAGTTCATACCTTCTGCCAAGGATTGCAATTCATCCAAAAGAGATTGAACAAGGCTGATAAGAGCCTGGATGTGCAGCCTATCCTGGTTCCTCTTTCACCCCCACATAAACAGCAGGAAAGACGTTAGTGTGAAATAGATACAACACCCCAAGAGATGAGGCTAAGCCCAGTGGGAAGGGAATCAGAGGCTACTAGAGACAGAGGGACAGAGAAGAGGGAGGGAGACAGATGGAAGGACCTGCACCAGGAGTTATGGGCACAGAAAAGAACATGAAGACACAGAGAGGAAGGAGAGAGACAGACACCAGCAAGGGGAAGCCTCACTCATTCTAGGTGCCATGGATGGGATGATAAAGAGAGACACCTTCTAAACTCACAACCTCTCTTCTTAGGAGTCCACAGAAAACCTTCCCTCCTGGCCCACCCAGGTCCCCTGGTGAAATCAGAAGAGACAGTCATCCTGCAATGTTGGTCAGATGTCAGGTTTGAGCACTTCCTTCTGCACAGAGAGGGGAAGTATAAGGACACTTTGCACCTCATTGGAGAGCACCATGATGGGGTCTCCAAGGCCAACTTCTCCATCGGTCCCATGATGCAAGACCTTGCAGGGACCTACAGATGCTACGGTTCTGTTACTCACTCCCCCTATCAGTTGTCAGCTCCCAGTGACCCTCTGGACATCGTCATCACAGGTGAGAGTGTCCGGACATTCTCATTGTCATTGGGCTGCAGAGTGAATGATCCACGACTTGGAACCCCCAGGTAGTTGTAAGGAAGATGAGCTTGGTATTCTTATGGAGAGAGACTGACTTGCTGAGGTTTGTACCAACAGAGACAGAGAAACAGGAGACACAAGTACAGACCAGGTGTCATAACGGAGGACAGACACAGGGGCCATACAGGGAGTTAGAAAAGACAGAAAGAGTTAAAGGAGACAGACAGACAGACATGTCCCAGAGAGAGGTGTCCCTCCATGCTGACTTTGCTCACAGACCTGGCACAGGATAGAAGTTTCATTTCTGTTTTACCTCCACAAAGTGTTCTCTACCAGGAGAACCCAAGGACACCCATATTTCTGACCTGAGTTGGGCCCTGTGGCCTCAGGCCTTGTGGCACCTACAGGCCATGTTTATTCTGACACCTCTGCCTTCCATGTAATGGAGAGTAACCGTCCCAGGATATCATGGCCCCAGAACACCAACCCCTGTATGCTGTGTGAACTTGTGGTCTCCAGACTGGATTCTGAGGCTCACATTCCAAATAACCCCACATATGAAAGGATCACTGAGAGGCACAGAGAGAAATCAGGAACACCAAAAAGCAAAGACATAAACACACAGAGAATGGGCCAGAGGAAGGAGATTGAGAGACTCACTGACACATAAAGAGAGAGAAAAGAGGGCAGAGGAGTGGTGAGAATGATGGAAGGGAGCAGAGAAAAGCACTAAAATTAGAGTCCTGAGGGAGAGGCACAAGGACATAGAAAGATGGAGATGTGGGGATGAACTGCAGAGATTCCAAAGAGAACTAGAGAGACCGAGAGGCAGAGCAAGACAGATGATAGATGGATAGATATAGATAGATGATAAATAGGTAGATGATAGATAATAGGTTAAAGATACATAGATGATGATTGATTGATTCATTAATAGATAATACATAGAGATGATGATGATGAAGACAGATAGATAATACGTACAGATAGAGAGGCAGACAGAAATCATAGAGAGAGAGATGATACATACATATAAATAACAGATGATTGATGGATAGATAGACAACTGATAGATACATAGATGATATATAGATATAGATGACAGGTAGAGAATTTGTAGATAGGCACCGAATAGATAAATAGATAGATCGACAGATAATAGATAGAAATATGCAGAAAGTTATGAACAGGACACAACGTGAGAAACTTAGAATTTAAAAAAGTAACATCAAGTCAACCAATCCAAGGAGAGTCAGAGAGAATAAAAGAATCCAAAAAGGGAAAACATATCTAGAGGTGGGGAAGCGAGGTCAGAGACCTAGAGAGACAGAGAAGGTGGAAGGAGGAAATAGACATGAAGAGAGATGGGGTGGAGGGTGAGAGAGAGAGAGAGAGAGCATTAGGTCATAGAGCAGGGGAGTGAGTTCTCAGCTCAGGTGAAGGGAGCTGTGACAAGGAAGATCCTCCCTGAGGAAAATGCCTCTTCTCCTTCCAGGTCTATATGAGAAACCTTCTCTCTCAGCCCAGCCGGGCCCCACGGTTTTGGCAGGAGAGAGCGTGACCTTGTCCTGCAGCTCCCGGAGCTCCTATGACATGTACCATCTATCCAGGGAGGGGGAGGCCCATGAACGTAGGTTCTCTGCAGGGCCCAAGGTCAACGGAACATTCCAGGCCGACTTTCCTCTGGGCCCTGCCACCCACGGAGGAACCTACAGATGCTTCGGCTCTTTCCGTGACTCTCCCTATGAGTGGTCAAACTCGAGTGACCCACTGCTTGTTTCTGTCACAGGTGAGGAAACCCCATATCTGTCTCATGTCCTATGATCCTAGAGCCTTAGCTGAGGAGCTTCCTGCTGATGATGGAGAGAAGCATGGACAGATGCAGAGAGAAGACGAAGCTTGGGTGTGAGGGAGGGATCAGGGCACAGGATGGCAGACAGGGCACCTCCAAACCCTCCTACACGGCCTGCATGAAGGCCCGCGGCCAGGGCTCCAGGCACACAGGCAGATGGAGAAAACGGTCAGGAGAGACCCAGAGGAGAGAGACTGGGCTCAGTTTGGGAAGATCAGAGGTTCCCTCAGCCCCTCAACATTATCCATTTCCCAGAAGCCCATCCTGGCCTCTCACCCACACAGGGATGTCATCACCAGCAACCCCTACACCCTTTACTTTTGTTTGAAGAAATATTTATTGAGGATAAATATACCTATATAGCTTACCACCTTTAACATTTTTTTTTTTTTTGAGGCAGAGTCTAGCTCTGTCCCCTATGCTGGAGTGCAGTGGCACAATCTCAGCTCACTGCAATTTCCGCCTCCTGGGTTCAAGCGATTCTCTTGCCTCAGCCACCTGAGTAGCTGGTGCTACAGGCGCGCACCACCACGCCAGGCTACTTTTTGTATTTTTAGTAGAGAGGTGGTTTCACCATGTTGGTCGAGCTGGTCTCCAACTCCTGACCACGTGATCCACCCGCATGTGCCTCCCAAAGTGCTGGGATTACAGGCATGAGCCACCACGCCCAGCCACATTTACCATTTTTAAGTGTAAAGTCTAGTGGTCATAAATACATTTATATATATATATATTTTTTTTTTTTTTTTACCCTCCACCCTTTTCTTCCTGGCCTCTGGAAGCCATCATTCTACTCTCTACCTTCATGAGATCCACCTTTTAGCTCTGTATATGGGTGAGAAATGGGAATCTTTGTAATGACTTCCAGTTCCATCCATGTGGCTGCAAATATCAGGATGTTATTCTTTCTATGGATGAGTAGTCTCCACTGTGCGTATGTACTACATTCTCTCTATCCATTCATCCACTGATGGGCAGGTAGGTTGACTCCACATCTTGGCTACTGTGAACAGTGCTGCACCAATCATACGAGTGCAGATATCACTTCGATATATTGATTTACTTTCCTTTGGATATAAACCCAGTAGTGAAATTGCTGGATACTATGAAAGTTCTCTTTTTAGTTTTTCGTTTGTTGTTTTGTTTTTGTTTTTGAGACAGTTTCCCTCTGTGCCCAGGCTGGAGTACAAGTGATGTCATCTTGGCTCATTGCAACCTCTGCCTCCTGGGTTCAAATGATTTTCCTGCCTCAGCCTCCCTAGTAGCTGGGATTACAGGTGCACGCCACCATGCCTGGCTACTTTTTGTTTTTTTTAGTATAGATGGGGTTTCCCCATGTTGGCTGGGCTGCTCTCAAACTCATGACCTCAACTGAGATGCCCGCCTCAGTCTCCCAAAGTGCTGGGATTACAGGCCTGATCCACCACACCCAACCTCTTTTTAGTTCTTTAAAGGACTTCCATACTTTTCTCCGTAATCGCTGTACTAATTTACACTCCTCCCAACAGGGTACCAGGGTTCTCCTTTCTCTACCACCTTGCCAGCATTTCTTTTGCCTGTCTTGCAGCTAAAAGCCATTTTATTTTATTTCATTTTATTTTGAATGGAGTTTTGCTCTTCTCACCCAGGCAGGAGTGCAGTGGCGCTATCTCGGCTCACCACAACCTCCACCTCCCAGGTTCAAGCGATTCTCCTGCCTCAGCCTCCCGAGTAGCTGGAATTACAGGCACACTCCACCACGCCCGACTAATTTTTGTATTTTTAGTAGAGACAGCGTTTCTCTATGTGGGTCAGACTGGTCTCAAACTCCTGACCTTATGAGATTCACCCACCTCAGGCTCTCAAAGTTCTAGGATGACAGACGTGAGCCACCACGCCCGGCCTAAAAGCCATTTTAATGGGGTGAGATGAAAACTCACTTTGATTTTAATTTGCGTTTCTCTGATGATGAGTGATACTGAGCACTTTTTAGTATGTGGGGAAATTTCATGTCTTCTGCTCCTTTTTCAATTAAATCATTTGTTTTATTGAGTTGTTTGAGCTTCTTATATTTCTAGTTATTAATCCCATCTCAGATGCATAGTTTGCACATATTTGCTCCCAATCTGTGGGTTGTCTCTTCACTTTGTTGGTTTATTTTTAGCAGTGCAGAAGTTGCTTAGTTTGAGGTAATCCCAATGGTCTATTTTTGCTTCGATTACTTGTGTTTTCAAGGTTTAAAACAAAATGTCTTTCTTCAGACAAATGTCCTGGAGCATTTCCCCAATATTTTGTTCTACGTGTTTCATAGGTTCAGGCCTTAGACTCACATCTTTAATCCATTTTCATTTGATTTTTGTGTATGGTGACAGGTAGAGGTGCAGTTTCATTCCTCTGCATGTCGATGTCCAGGTTTCCCTGCACTGTTTATTGAAAAGACTGTCCTTTCCTGATTGTGAGTTCTTGGCACCTTTGTCAAAGTCCATTGGATGGGCTGGGCTTGGTGGCTGACACCTGCAATTTCAGCACTTTGGGAGGCCGAGGCGGGTGGATTACCTGAGGCCAGGAGTTCAAGATCAGTCTGGACGACGTGATGAAACATCGTCTCCACTAAAAATATAAAAATTAGCTGAGCATGGTGGTCAGCACCTGTAATACCACTACTCAGGAGTTTGAGGCAAGAGAATGATTGAACCCAGGAGGCTGAGGTTGCAGTGAACTGAGATTGCACCTCTGCACTCCAGCCTGAGTGACAGAGCAAGACTCCATCTCAAAAGAAAAAATAAAAAACCATTGGATGTAAATGCATGGAATATATCTGTGTTATTCATTCTGCTCCGTTGTTCTATGTCCCTTTCTTTATGCCAATGTCATGCTGTTTTGCTTACTACAGCTCTGTAACATATTTTGAGATCAGGTAGTGTGATGCTCCTGTTTTCTCTTTATACCTTGAAGTCTCAAGACAGTGGGCGTCACATAAAAAAATTATGGAAAAAAGGATCCCAGGACTCCCAGGGCCCAATATTAGATAACAGAGTGTTGGCCATGAACCATCCTCAAAGATTTCCACTGAGTAGAGGACAGACACCCTCATTTCCTCACCTCTCTCCTGTCTCATGTTCTAGGAAACCCTTCAAATAGTTGGCCTTCACCCACTGAACCAAGCTCCAAAACCGGTGAGTACAGAACCCTCTTATATCCGCTTTTGGAAACCTGGGGAGGTGGAAACCTTGGATTCAGGCGTTGACTCAGCATCTCACAGCTCTGACATTGTACCCCTGTCTTCCACCATCTCCGAACTCCAGATACTCCTACAGCGAAAGGGATCTGGGTCCAACACAGGGCTCAGTGAAATCTCTTCATCTCTCATTTTATGGAGCTGAGACCTCCTACAAGCTAGAAGAATGATTGCCAATCTGACATCCTTCTCAGGAAAAATGCAATGTTTGTTCTGCCTGCATTCCTAACTGGAGGATAAATTCCTGGAGACTTGAGAGAGGGAAGGGAAGGGAACATCTGATGAGGGCGAGGTGTTTTAGAGAAGTTCCACTTGCCAAGGAATGAGCTCCTATAGGTCATGAAGCAACCCTGGCTGACTCAGCAGAGAAAGAGCCTTGCTGTAACAGAGAACAGAGCTCATGCACGCACACTTCGACTCACTGACTCATTCAGCCACGGCCCCATGCTCAGGCTGTGCACTGTGGAAGCTTTTCCTATTGTTGCCATAACAAATTTCCACAAGATTCGTGGGTGAAAACAAAACGGTTTTTTAATTATCTTACAGTGCTGTAGCTCAAAGTATGAAGTGCATCTCACTGGGCTAAAATCAAGGTGACAGCAAGGCTGCCTTCCCTCTGAGGATTCCAGGCAAGAATCTGCTTCTCACTTTTCTCAGCTTCTAGAGGCTCCCACATTCCTTCGCTCCTGGTCCCCTTCCTCCTTCCTCAAAGCCCACAAAGACTGGTCACATCTCACATGGCATCACTCAGACCCTTCTTCCTTACCACACCTCTTTCTCTGAATGCTGCTCTCCCTTCTTCCTCATCTTTTGAAAACTTGGGGATTCTATTGGGTTCACCAAGATGAAAATCCATCATAATCTCCCGGAAATCATTCAGGATACCCTTGTTTTAAGTTCAGCTGATTAGCAACCATAATTCCATCTGCAATCTTCATTCCTCCTTTCCATGTAAAATAAGATATTCACAAGCTATGGAGGCTAGGACAGGGACATTTTGGGGTGGGACAGCATTCTCCTGCCTTCCACAAACAGTGAACAAGATGCATTTGGCCTCTGCTCTTTGGACACTGATATTGCAGATGGTTAAATGGGAGGGCAGAAAATGAATGCACAAGTGGACCAATAAATGAATGATCCATTGGGAAGCATCTGTGTATGAAATCTATTTGTTTGTTTCTTCATTTGTTTATTGAGACAGAGTCTCCCTCTGTCTTCCAGGCTACAGTGCAGTGTCACCATCTTGGCTCACTGCAACCTGCACCTTCTGGATCCAAGTGATTCTCCTGCGTCAGCCTCTCAAGTAGCTGGGATTACAGGCAACTGCCACCATGCCCGGCTAATTCTTTTTGTATATTTTTTGTAGAGGATGTTTCACCATCTTCGCCAAGCTTCTCTGAAACTCCCAACCTCAAGTGATCCGACCGTCTCAGCATCCTAAAGTACTGGGATAACTGGCGTGAGCCACTGTGCCCAGCCAGAATTTAAAATAAATAATACATAATGCTGAGTGTATGATTTTGGGTGACAGAGAAGATCTCACTAATCAGATATTTGTGACATTAATGAAAAACACGGATTGAACCCCTGAAAGATTGGCGGAAGGATTTTCCACACACAGCTGTCAGCCGTGAAGGCAGAAAGCTGAAAACAATCTGATGTGGAAGGAAGAGGCTCTGCCTCAAATGCTGGGAATGAGGTGGGGAGAATGACAAGACGACTGTGGAGAGACGGAGAGCACACTGGGTACACAGGAAACTAAGGAGCAACAAGGAGTGTGTGTTTGACACTCACAGCCATTGGATTCACCTCGGGGTAGCCAGGAATCCCTACATGATTAATAGTGACTGACATGAAAATAAGGGAGGCCCAGGTGCATAACTGGAATCTAGGAGACTGTGGAAAAGGCAATTCCCGCCCCACTGGTGAAATGTGGTGCTGATTTAGACCCTAACTGGGTGAAGCAGATGGATATAAGCTATGCTTGTGAGGTGGAATCATTGGCTGGAAAGGCTTGCTGGGTATGATTTTCCTAGTTGTCTAATCCTCGCTTAATTTCTTTCTGAGCTTTATTCCTACTACACATAAATCAATACCTGGCAAAGGAGTGACAGATATATGAGGGGTGGTGGAAATGAAGGGACCTATTATAGCATAATATACAAGTCTGTGAACGGTGGCTCACGCCTGTAACCCAGCACTGCAGGAGGCCAAGGCGGGTGGATCACATGAAGTCAGCAGTTCGAGACCAGCCTGGCCAACATGGTGAAACCCTGTCTCTAGGAAAAACACAAAAATTAGCCGAGCATGGTGGTGCATCCCTGTAATCCCAGCTCCTACTCTGGAGGATGAAGCAGGAGAATGACTTCAACCCAGGAGGTGGAGGTTGCAGTGAGTGGAGATTGCATCACTGCACTCCAGCCTGGGTGACACAAGGAGACTCCGTCTCAAAAAATAAAAATAAGAAATGCATAAATATAAATATAATATAACACATGCAAATGAGAAAGGGACCTGAATTCCAATCATGATTTTTCTATTTCTCTATAATTACTTCTTTGATCCTTTATCTTATCCATTAGGCAATGAGCCTAAAACCTCTTCCCTATTTGGCTTTCTGTGAGCATGAGATCATATAGAAAATGTGAAAGCCCGCTGAATCCTCCAGCACAGATCCTGGAATACACAAAGTGCTCTGTTCATCACAAGAAAACATGCCCTCTCACCCAAATCCCCCACCTCACCCCTACTTCCAATCATCTGTGGAGATTCAGATAGGCCATGGGGAGGTAAATTCTAATACTCCTTGGAGTGAGTCCAGATCTTGGAATCAGAGATCAGCGTCAGCAGTAGCTCCTGCTCCCCTTTCCTACTAATTCACAGGAGGACAGGTGGTATTGAAGCAATAGATGGCCGAGGGGGTGGTCCTTCCCCCAGCCTCTCGGGTAGAACAGCAACCTAACATGTGTCTCCTGAGATCACAAAGAGTAGCACGTTTCACATGGGCTTCAACACTGTTTCCTGGCCATTTGACATAAGAGAATTCTACTTCGCTTTTTTTATCTTGATTTCACTTTTGTTTCCTTTTCTTGGAGAATGCAAGTTGTTTGACTCAAGAATGCCGTGGATGTAGAAATCCTAAAGCACAGTCGCTGTGTATCAATCCCAGTGCAGTCTTCCCAGAGAAGACTCTAAACACCTCCTGGACTGCACCTGGGCCTATGCCAATTCCTATCACTCACCGTCACTCCAGGGAGACAGAACACACAGAGAATACATTACACAGGCAGGTTCATTACTAACAGATAAGCAGCGAGTGACAACAGAAGCCTACATTTCAATGTGAGCCAGTCCCTCAAGGCTCAGAAAAGCTGCTCGGGACATATGGAGTCACCCCATTTGCAGTGTAGCTGGGGGAAGCCAGAAAGCAGCCCAGCCTGGGTTTTGTACCCTGGAGCCACAGGAAGCACTCAGCTAAAGCACTGCATGACGCCTTCCTCCAGGAAGAACAGGAAGACAGCCCAGGCTGTTCTGAGACATTCCTCCTGATCTCAGTACGTTGCTGTCGTAGTTTTTTTTTGTTGCTCTAAAGGAAAACTTGAGCCTCGGTAACTTCTAAAGAAAAGAGATCGGTTTGCCTCACCGTTCTGCAGGCTGTACTGGAAGCATGGTACCAGAATCTATTTCTTGTGACGGCCTCAGGCTGCTCCCACTCTGGCAGAAGGGAAGGAGGGTCTGTCTGTGCAGAGACCGCAGAGATCACACGGCAAGAGAGAGAGTAAGGGGGAGGGGGAGCGATGGAGCTTCCAAGCTCTTTTTAACAACCAGCTCTCCAGGAACTAATAGAGGGGGAACTTGCTAACCCCGTCTCCTTGGGACAGCATTGTTCTGTTCATGATGGATCCACCTCCATGACCCAAACACCTCCCAAGAGGCCCAACCTCCCACAATGGGGGTGAAATTTCCATGTGAGGTTTGAAGGGGTCAGACATCTCAACTAAAGTAGTTGTATCCTCAGCACGTTCTATGGTTACTATGAGAGCTATAACTGAGAAAGCAGGGGAAAGCTAGGTCTCCCACCATTTGGGTGCTTGTCCTAAAGAGACGTTGTATGTGGTTACCTGTCAATCAAGAAATGCGAGACAATTCATAAAGAGGAACTGCTATGATTAGCTTCTTATTGGTGTCTCCTCTTCTTCCAGGTAACCCCAGACACCTACACGTTCTGATTGGGACCTCAGTGGTCAAACTCCCTTTCACCATCCTCCTCTTCTTTCTCCTTCATCGCTGGTGCTCCGACAAAAAAAGTAAGTCTCACGAAGCAGAGGCCAGAGAGCTCAGGGCCATGTGGGGAAGCAGGATGTTAGCACGTGGGTGTGTGTTCCTCACAGGCAGGATGGTCCCTGGCCCAAGACAGGAGCCACAGAGGCAGGACTTTCTAGAGAGAGCACCAGACTCCCTGCCCCTGCCTTCAGCTCACAGACCATTGCCTGATTCTGAACTGTACCCTCACGTCCCCTGCAGCCACTCACATCCAGGAGAAGGTTCCATGACAGGCAGAAAGTGGGAGATAGAATCAATGGGATGGGAACTCAGAGCTATTCATGGGATGGGTCCTTGAGCTCAGAGAGATAGAATGTCTGAGTCTGCTGTTGGCAACTGAGGGACCTCAGGCACCTATGGCCTCCCCCTGTTTGTTGGTATCTGCTTATGAAATGAGGACCCAGAAGTGCCCTCCGAGCTGTTTTGTTGACTTCCATCTTCTACAGATGCATCTGTAATGGACCAAGGGCCTGCGGGGAACAGAACAGTGAACAGGGAGGTAGGTGCTCCTCGGCCCAGCCTCGTGGCTAGTCTTATTCCCAAAGAGTCCTGAAAAATGTGAGCACCCTCCCTCACTCAGCATTTCCCTCTCTCCAGGATTCTGATGAACAGGACCATCAGGAGGTGTCATACGCATAATTGGATCACTGTGTTTTCACACAGAGAAAAATCACTCCCCCTTCTCAGAGGCCCAAGACACCCCCAACAGATAGCAGCATGTACATAGAACTTCCAAATGCTGAGTCCAGATCCAAAGCTGTCTTCTGTCCACGAGCACCACAGTCAGGCCTTGAGGGGATCTTCTAGGGAGACAACAGCCCTGTCTCAAAACCGGGTTGCCAGCTCCCATGTACCAGCAGCTGGAATCTGAAGGCATCAGTCTTCATCTTAGGGCATCGCTCTTCCTCACACCACGAATCTGAACATGCCTCTCTCTTGCTTACAAATGTCTAAGGTCCCCACTGCCTGCTGCAGAGAAAACACACTCCTTTGCTTAGCCCACAATTCTCCATTTCACTTGACCCCTGCCCACCTCTCCAACCTAACTGGCTTACTTCCTAGTCTACTTGAGGCTGCAATCACACTGAGGAACTCACAATTCCAAACATACAAGAGGCTCCCTCTTAACACGGCACTTAGACACGTGCTGTTCCACCTTCCCTCATGCAGTTCCACCTCCCCTCAGACTATCTTTCAGCCTTCTGTCAGCAGTAAAACTTATAAATTGTTTTTAGTAATTTCAATGTAGTTTTCCCTCCTTCAAATAAACATGTCTGCCCTCATCGTTTCGGTAATGGGACTCTTTTCTTTCCTAAGGCTTCCGGTGTTATCATTACCATGTCCACATAACCCCATCTGTTCTCCACTGGGTTCTCACCCCTGGACTCTGAGCTTCTGGAACAGGGTGGACCCTGACTTGTCTCTGAGACTCCAATTTCCATCCAAAGATGCAGCACATAGGAAGTTCCAAGGATCGTGAATCACATGAACAAGTGATATTCTTACTCTCTGCAGACCTGGAAAGCTGGCAGAGTCATTCCATGATGAAACATTTGTAGAGTCATAGGCCTTGTTAGTCTCATCTCCACGGGGACACATGTCAACGCATCATCTTTCATACTATAAATATACAGTCGCTCCTCCGTATCTGTGGGGTTTACAGGTGTTTATTGAACCAAGTATAAATCAAAAATATTCAGAGAAAAAGCCCACAAAGTTCCAAAAAGCAAAACTGTGTTGAATGCACACAAATGAGGTGGTGTATAGGCTGTATCAGGAATTATAAGTAATCAAGAGATGATTTCATGTATACAGGAGGATGTGCATGGGTTATATCCAAATGCTGTGTCATTTTACGTAAGAGGCTTGAGCATCTGCAGATTTTAGTATCTGAGTGGAGATCTCGAAACCAATCACCCATGAATAGTGAAGGATGACGGTATAGGACTTTTATTTCTCAAATTTAAATATAAATCATAAAAAATGTACAATAACTAGATAAAAACTAAGAAGTGTTTTTATAGTGTGAGAATAAGTTTAGATTTATTATTTCCTATGTGTAACCCTTTGGTTTAATATTATTTATTGAGAAGACATTCTATGCCACCTTAAACCACACGGCAGCTTTGTCAACTAAAAAGGGACTGTGTGTACACGGATGTGTATTTTAGACACTGTCTCTGCTAAACGGCTCTCTGTGTCCACATTCTTGAGGATGCTCCACTTTATGTAGCCCCATAGAACCCTTTAAATTTAGTAGCCAGAGGCCTCTAATTTGTTATTATAGGCTATTTGCTATTTTTATTTTCTTGAGGCGGAGTCTTGCTCTGTCGCCCAGGCTGGACTGCAGTGGTGCAATCTCAGCTCACTGCAACCTCCGCCTCCCAGGTTCAAGCGATTCTCGTGCCTCAGCCTCTTGGGTAGCTGGCGTTACAAGTTCCTGCCACTGGGCACGGCTAATTTTTGGATTTTTAGCAGAGACACGGTTTCACTGTGTTGCCAGGCTGCTCTCAAACTCCTTATATCAGTTGATCCGCCCACCTCGGCTTCCCGACGTGCTGGGGGAAACTTGATTTTCTATAGCATTATGTTACTGGATATTTCTGTAAAATTTAAAATGAGGGAGGCAGAGAGACAGAGAGAGAACAAACTCCAGAGTTGGGACTCTGGAAACTTGGGTCATGAGACAAATTTTAGATAAATCTACAAAAATCCAGAGTTTAAATGTGTGGTTTTTGCTGATAACGTACAATTCAAAGATTGTAAATAATTGCATAATCCTTCCCTGGGAATTTAAATCATTTTAACTGGTTCTGCTGTAATACTAGAAATACAAGCATGAAAAATTCTAATGGTTTATTAGTCACAATGACTCTGAAAACCTTAATAATACCTATTAGATATTTTGCATATTACACATGAAGAAGAGTTTGAATCTCAGATAAAAACAATAAAAATACATGAAAAGTCTTTCACGTTAGCACAGATTTTAGGCATCTCGTGTTCAGGAGGTTGGATCTGAGACGTGTTTTGAGTTGGTCATAGTGAAGGACGCTAGGTGTAAATTCTAGTGAGAACAATTTCCAGGAAGCCGTGTTCCGCTCTTGAGCGAGCACCCACTGGGCCTCATGCAAGGTAGAATGAGCCTGCGTACGTCACCCTCCCATGATGTGGTCAACATGTAAACTGCATGGGCAGGGCGCCAAATAACATCCTGTGCGCTGCTGAGCTGAGCTGGGGCGCGGCCGCCTGTCTGCACCGGCAGCACCATGTCGCTCACGGTCGTCAGCATGGCGTGTGTTGGTGAGTCCTGGAAGGGAATAGAGGAAGGGAGTGTGGGGTTGGAGATCTGGGCCCAGAGGTGGAGATATAGGCCTGGAGGTGGAGTTGTGGGCCTGGAGTGGAGATCTGGGCCTGGAGTGGATATATGGGCCTAGAGATGGAGTGATGGGCCTAGAAGTGGAGATCTGGGCCTGGAGTGCCGATAGGAACCTGGAGGGGAGATAGGAGCCTGGAGTGGAGATATGGGCCTGGAGGTGGAGTTATAGGCCTATAGTAGAGATATGGGCCTGGAGTGGAGATTTGGGCCAGGAGTGGAGATATGGGCCTAGAGGTGGATATCTGGGCCTAGAGTGGAAATATGGGCCTAGGATGGAGATATGGGCCTGGTTGTGGAGATATGGGACTGGAGAGGAGATATGGGCCTAGAGTGGAGATATGGGCTTGGGGTGGAGATCTGGGCCTGGGGTGGAGATATGGGCCTGGAGGTGGAGTTACGGGCCTTCAGTAGAGATATGGGCCTGGGGTGGAGATATGGGCTTGGGGTGGAGATCTGGGCCTGGAGTGGAGATATGGGCCTGGAGGTGGAGTTACTGGCCTTCAGTAGAGATATGGGCCTGGTGTGGAGATATGGGCCTGGATTGGAGATATGGGCCTAGGGTGGAGATCTGAGCCTGGAGTGGAGATATGGGCCTGGATTGGAGATATGGGCTTACAGTGAAGATCTTGGCCTGGATTGGCGATATGGGCCTGGATTGGCGATATGGGCCTATGATGGAAATATCGGCCTGGAGTGGAGATATGGGCCTGGAGTGGAGATACAGGCCTAGGGTGGAAATATTGGCCTGGAGTGGAGATATGGGCTTCTGGTGGGGATATGGGCTTGTGGTGGGGATCTGGGCTTGGAGGCTGGGTCTCTGCACAGCCGACAGCCCTGTTCTTGGGTGCAGGTAGGCACTGAGGGTGAGTTTAACTTCAGCCCAGGAAGGGCCTGCCTACCAAGACTCACAGCCCAGTGAGGGCAGCAAGGGAGGGCTGGTTCGCCTGCAGATGGATGGTCCATCATGATCTTTCTTTCCAGGGTTCTTCTTGCTGCAGGGGGCCTGGCCACATGAGGGTGAGTCCTTCTCCAAACCTTCGGGTGTCATCTCCCCACATAAGAGGATTTTCCTGAAACAGGAGGGAAGTCCTGTCGGGGAGCCTCTCATAAACTAGGAAGAGGGGACCCTGGGGTGCTCGGCCCACAGTTCCGACCTCGCCTCCCTGGCCTTTCATTCCCTTGGCAGAGTCAAGTTCTGTGGGGACCAGGGTTAGACTGGGGTGCTCAAAGCTGGGGTGTGTGGTGGGGAAGTGGTAGGAACAGCAGATCCTCTGAGGACAAAGGTGTTACTCACACTTCAGCGTTTCCATGACGGTAGGGGCTGCAGTGTGGCTGCTGTCACTCCACCAGAAGAGGTGGGAAACCACAGCCATGGCCCTGACATTCCAAATCCTCTGATGGGGGCTCAGTTGCTTATTTTCATTCAGGCATCGGCTGATATTCCATTCTCAAAGGCCATGCCCTCCACCCCATGTCTACCCTGTGTTGTTTTATGTGAGTAATCTTACAGTATTAAAATCTAGTAGGAGTCTCTTACTCAGCACTTGCTCAAAGTTCTCAGCTGACACTTTTGTTGTAGGGAGACACCTTGTGTTTGCGGGATGGGTCCTTCCTTTAGCCCTGGGCACCAAGGTGTGATAGCAGCCATAGAAACTTGGAAAGCGAGGAGAATCTTCAGAGCACAGGGAGGGAGGGGTGGCTCCACATCCTCCTCTCTAAGGCGGTGCCTCCTTCTCCCCAAGGTGGTCAGGACAAGCCCTTGCTGTCTGCCTGGCCCAGCTCTGTGGTGCCTCCAGGACATGTGATTCTTCGGTGTCATTCTTATCTTGGGTTTAACAACTTCAGTCTGTAAAAGGAAGATGGGGTGCCTGGCACTGAGCTCTACAACAGAATATTCTGGAAGAGCCTTTTCATGGGCCCTGTGACCCCAGCACACACAGGGACGTACAGATGTCGGGGTTCACACCCACACTCCCCCAGTGGGTGGTCGGCACCCAGCAACCCCCTGGTGATCATGGCCACAGGTCAGAGGGCTCCTGTCTTGGATTCTCCTTTCCCACCTCCTGAATCCCAGAGCTTCTGGTGGGCGTGTCCTTGAGGGTCCCATCACCCAGGCCCTGACTATATTTGGGGTAAAGGGGGATTGAATACAGGGAAATGGGTGCTGTGGTGGGAAGAATAATTGTCCCCAGTGATGACTACATTCTAATCCCTGGAGTCTGTGACTATTTATGTTATAGGGGAAGGAACTGAAGGGGAAGATGGAGCTCAGGTTGTTGATGAGTTGACCTTGAGATGGGGAGACAGCCTGGACTGTCCCGCTGGGCTCAGTGTAATCACAAGGGTCCACATGAAAGGAGGAGGAAGAGGGGAGTGGGGATTAGAGCAGCGCAATGGGAGACTCCACCAGCTTTGAAGGTGGAGGAAGTCCAGGAGCCATGAATGCAGGTGGCCTGTAGAGGCTGGAAAAGTCAAGGAAATGATTCTCCAGAGTCTCCAGAGGGAACGAAGCCCTGCAGATACCTTGATTTTAGCCCAGGAAAAACAGGGTCCTATTTCTGTCTCCAGTAGTGAAATGGGTCAGTGTGCTCTCTCCTGCTGCCATGCTGCTGATAATTTTCTACAGCAGCAACAGGAAACCAACACTGGAACCCAGGTCAAGGACAAGTTAAGAAACAACACAAGGATAGCCGGGTGTGGTGGCAGGCGCATGTAATCCTAGCGACTTGGGAGGCTGAGGGCAGGAGAATCACTTGAACCCAGGAGACAGAAGTTGCAGTGACCCTAGACCACACCACTTCACTCCAGCTGGGGTGAAGGAGTGAGACTCTGATCTCCATAATTAATTAATTAATTAAAGGAACCAAACAAGGGGAAGGTTGGCTACACCTAGATCAGCAAGTGTGGGATGATGATGCCACCACCAGGCTCCATCCACATAGGGAGGGGTTGATACTCCTCAAACCAGCACCAGGAGCCAGCCTATGGAAGCTGGCACCATGGAGAAGGCACAGGCATGGCAAGAGTGGCTCCCAGTCCCGACCAGGAACAGGGTGTGTGGACACTGCTGCCTGCCTTATTCATCAGTTCATACCTCCTGCCAAGGATTCCAATTCATCCAAAAGAGATTGAACCAGGCTGATAAGAGGCTGGATGTGCAGCCTATCCTGGTTCCTCTTTCACCCCCACATAAACAGCAGGAAAGACATTAGTGTGAAATAGATACAACACCCCAAGAGATGAGGCTAAGCCCAGTGGGAAGGGAATCAGAGGCGACTAGAGACAGAGAGACAGAGAAGAGGGAGGGAGACAGATGGAAGGACCTGCACCAGGAGTTATGGGCACAGAAAAGAACATGAAGACACAGAGAGGAAGGAGAGAGACAGACACCAGCAAGGGGAAGCCTCACTCATTCTAGGTGCCATGGATGGGATGATAAAGAGAGACACCTTCTAAACTCACAACCTCTCTTCCTAGGAGTCCACAGAAAACCTTCCCTCCTGGCCCACCCAGGTCCCCTGGTGAAATCAGAAGAGACAGTCATCCTGCAATGTTGGTCAGATGTCAGGTTTGAGCACTTCCTTCTGCACAGAGAGGGGACATTTAACGACACTTTGCACCTCACTGGAGAGCACCATGATGGGGTCTCCAAGGCCAACTTCTCCATCGGTCCCATGATGGAAGACCTGGCAGGGACCTACAGATGCTACGGTTCTGTTACTCACTCCCCCATCAGTTGTCAGCTCCCAGTGACCCTCTGGACATCGTCATCACAGGTGAGAGTGTCCGGACATTCTTCTCATTGTCATTGGGATGCAGAGTGAATGATCCACGACTTGGAACCCCCAGGTAGTTGTAAGGAAGATGAGCTTGGTATTCTTATGGAGAGAGACTGACTTGGTGAGGTCTGTACCAACAGAGACAGAGAAACAGGAGACACAAGTACAGACCAGGTGTCATAACAGAGGACAGACACAGGGGCCATACCGGGAGTTAGAAAAGACAGAAGGAGTTAAAGGAGACAGACAGACAGACATGTCCCAGAGAGAGGTGTCCCTCCATGCTGACTTTGCTCAGAGACCTGGCACAGGTTAGAAGTTTCATTTCTGTTTTACCTCCACAAAGTGTTCTCTACCAGGAGAACCCAAGGACACCCATATTTCTGACCTGAGTTGGGCCCTGTGGCCTCAGGCCTTGTGGCACCTACAGATGCCGTGTTTATTCTGACACCTCTGCCTTCCATGTAATGGAGAGTAACCGTCCCAGGATATCATGGCCCCAGAACACCAACCCCTGTATGCTGTGTGAACTTGTGGTCTCCAGACTGGATTCTGAGGCTCACATTCCAAATAACCCCACATATGAAAGGATCACTGAGAGGCACAGAGAGAAATCAGGGACACCAAAAAGCAAAGACATAAACACACAGAGAATGAGCCAGAGGAAGGAGATTGAGAGACTCACAGACACATAAAGAGAGAGAAAAGAGGGCAGAGGAGTGGTGAGAATGATGGAAGGGAGCAGAGAAAAGCACTAAAATTAGAGTCCTGAGGGAGAGGCACAAGGACATAGAAAGATGGAGATGTGGGGATGAATTGCAGAGATTCCAAAGAGAACTAGAGAGACCGAGAGGCAGAGCAAGACAGATGATAGATGGTTAGATATAGATAGATGATAAATAGGTAGATGATAGATAATAGGTTAAAGATACATAGATGATGATTGATTGATTCATTAATAGATGAGACATAGAGATGATGATGATGAAGACAGATAGATAATACATAGAGATAGAGAGGCAGACAGAAGTCATAGAGAGAGAGATGATACATAGATATAGATAACAGATGATTGATGGATAGATAGACAAGTGATAGATACATAGATGATATATAGATATAGATGACAGGTAGAGAATTTGTAGATAGGCACCGAATAGATAAATAGATAGATCGACAGATAATAGATAGAAATATGCAGAAAGTTATGAACAGGACACAAAGTGAGAAACTTAGAATTTAAAAAAGTAACATCAAGTGAACCAATCCAAGGAGAGTCAGAGAGAATAAAACAATCCAAAAAGGGAAAACATATCTAGAGGTGTGGAAGCGAGGTCAGAGACCTAGAGAGACAGAGAAGGTGGAAGGAGGAAATAGACATGAAGAGAGATGGGGTGGAGGGTGAGAGAGAGAGAGAGAGAGCATTAGGTCATAGAGCAGGGGAGTGAGTTCTCAGCTCAGGTGAAGGGAGCTGTGACAAGGAAGAGCCTCCGTAAGGAAAATGCCTCTTCTCCTTCCAGGTCTATATGAGAAACCTTCTCTCTCAGCCCAGCCGGGCCCCACGGTTCTGGCAGGAGAGAGCGTGACCTTGTCCTGCAGCTCCCGGAGCTCCTATGACATGTACCATCTATCCACGGAGGGGGAGGCCCATGAACGTAGGTTCTCTGCAGGGCCCAAGGTCAACGGAACATTCCAGGCTGACTTTCCTCTGGGCCCTGCCACCCACGGAGGAACCTACAGATGCTTCGGCTCTTTCCGTGACTCTCCCTACCAGTGGTCAAACTCGAGTGACCCACTGCTTGTTTCTGTCACAGGTGAGGAAAGCCCATGGCTGTCCCATGTCCTATGATCCTAGAGCCTTAGCTGAGGAGCTTCCTGCTGAGGATGGAGAGAAGGATGAACAGATGCAGAGAGAAGACGAAGCTTGGGTGTGAGGGAGGGATCAGGGCACAGGATGGCAGACAGGGCACCTCCAAACCCTCCTACATGGCCTGCATGAAGGCCTGCGGCCAGGACTCCAGGCACCCAGGCAGATGGAGAAAGCGGTCAGGAGAGACCCAGAGGAGGGAGACTGGGCTCAGTTTGGGAAGATCAGAGGTTCCCTCAGCCCCTCAACATTACCCATTTCCCAGAAGCCCATCCTGGCCTCCCACCCACACAGGGATGTCATCACCTGCAACCCCTACACCGTTTACTTTTGTTTGAGAAATATTTATTGAGGATAAATATAACTATATAGCTTACCACCTTTAACATTTTTTTTTTTGAGGCGGAGTCTAGCTCTGTCCCCTATGCTGGAGTGCATTGGCACAATCTCAGCTCACTGCAACTTCCGCCTCCTGGGTTCAAGCGATTCTCTTGCCTCAGCCACCTGAGTAGCTGGTGCTACAGGCGCGCACCACCATGCCAGGCTACTTTTTGTATTTTTAGTAGAGAGGGGGTTTCACCATGTTGGTCAAGCTGGTCTCGAACTCCTGACCACGTGATCCACCCGCATCAGCCTCCCAAAGTGCTGGGATTACAGGCATGAGCCACCACGCCCAGCCACATTTACCATTTTTAAGTGTAAAGTCTAGTGGTCATAAATACATTAATATATATATATATACACATATATTTTTTTTTACCCTCCACCCTTTTCTTCCTGGCCTCTGGTAGCCACCATTCTACTCTCTACCTTCATGAGATCCACCTTTTAGCTCCTGTATATGGGTAAGAAATGGGAATCTTTGTAATGACCTCCAGTTCCATCCATGTGGCTGCAAATATCAGGATGTTATTCTTTCTATGGAAGAGTAGTCTCCACTATGCAAATGTACCACATTCTCTCTATCCATTCACCCACTGATGGGCAGGTAGGTTGACTCCACATCTTGGCTACTGTGAAGAGTGCTGCACCAATCATACGAGTGCAGATATCACTTCGATATATTGATTTACTTTCCTTTGGATATAAACCCAGTAGTGAAATTGCTGGATACTATGAAAGTTCTCTTTTTAGTTTTTCGTTTGTTGTTTTGTTTTTGTTTTTGAGACAGTTTCCCTCTGTGCCAGGCTGGAGTACAAGTGATATGATCTTGGCTCATTGCAACCTCTGCCTCCTGGGTTCAAATGATTTTCCTGCCTCAGCCTCCCTAGTATCAGGGATTATAGGCGCACGCCACCATGCCTGGCTACTTTTTGTTTTTTTTAGTATAGATGCGGTTTCCCCATGTTGGCTGGGCTGCTCTCAAACTCATGACCTCAACTGAGGTGCCCGCCTCGGTCTCCCAAAGTGCCGGGATTACAGGCCTGATCCACCTCACCCAACCTCTTTTTAGTTCTTTAAAGGACTTCCACACTTTTCTCCGTAATGGCTGTACTAATTTACACTCCTCCCAACAGGATACCAGGATTCTCCTTTCTCTAACACCTTGCCAGCATTTCTTTTGCCTGTCTTGCAGCTAAAAGCCATTTTATTTTATTTCATTTTATTTTGAGATGGAGTTTCGCTCTTGTCACCCAGGCTGAGTGCAGTGGTGCGATCTCGGCTCACCGCAACCTCCACCTCCCAGGTTCAAGCGATTCTCCTGCCTCAGCCTCCCGAGTAGCTGGAATTACAGGCACACGCCACCACGCCCGACTAATTTTTGTATTTTTAGTAGAGACAGTGTTTCTCCATGTGGGTCAGACTGGTCTCAAACTCCCGACCTTATGAGATTCACCCACCTCAGGCTCTCAAAGTTCTAGGATGACAGACGTGAGCCACCTCACCCGGCCTAAAAGCCATTTTAATGGGGTGAGATGAAAACTCACTTTGATTTTAATTTGCGTTTCTCTGATGATGAGTGATACTGAGCACTTTTTAGTATGTGGGGAAATTTCATGTCTTTTGCTCCTGTTTCAATTAAATCATTTGTTTTATTGAGTTGTTTGAGCTTCTTATATTTCTAGTTATTAATCCCATCTCAGATGCATAGTTTGCACATATTTGCTCCCAATCTGTGGGTTGTCTCTTCACTTTGTTGGTTTATTTTTAGCAGTGCAGAAGTTGCTTAGTTTGAGGTAATCCCAATGGTCTATTTTTGCTTCGATTACTTGTGTTTTCAAGGTTTAAAACAAAATGTCTTCCCTCAGACAAACGTCCTGGAGCATTTCCCCAATATTTTCTTCTACGTGTTTCATAGGTTCAGGCCTTAGACTCACATCTTTAATCCATTTTCATTTGATTTTTGTGTATAGTGACAGGCAGAGGTGCAGTTTCATTCCTCTGCATGTAGATGTCCAGGTTTCCCTGCACTGTTTATTGAAAAGACTGTCCTTTCCTGATTGTGAGTTCTTGGCACCTTTGTCAAAGTCCATTGGATGGGCTGGGCATGGTGGCTAACACCAGCAACTTCAGCACTTTGGGAGGCCAAGGCTGGTGGATCACCTGAGGACAGGAGTACAAGATTACTCTGGCCGACGTGATGAAACATCGTCTCCACTAAAAATATAAAAATTAGCTGAGCATGGTGGTCAGCACCTGTAATACCACTACTCAGGAGTTTGAGGCCAGAGAAGTGATTGAACCCAGGAGGCTGTGGTGGCAGTGAACCGAGATTGCACCTCTGCACTCCAGCCTGGGTGACAGAGCAAGACTCCATCTCAAAAGAAAAACAAAAAATACATTGGAGGTAAATGCATGGATTATATCTGTGTTATTCATTCTGCTCCGTTGTTCTATGTGCCTTTCTTCATGCCAATGTCATGCTGTCTTGCTTACTACAGCTCTGCAACATATTTTGAGATCAGGTAGTGTGATGCTCCTGTTTTCTCTTTATACCTTGAAGTCTCAAGACAGTAGCCGTCACATACAAAAATTACGGAAAAAAGGATCCCAGGACTCCCAGGGCCCAATATTAGATAACAGAGTGTTGGCCATGAACCAACCTCAAAGATTTCCACTGAGTAGAGGACAGACACCCTCATTTCCTCACCTCTCTCCTGTCTCGTGTTCTAGGAAACCCTTCAAATAGTTGGCCTTCACCCACTGAACCAAGCTCCGAAACCGGTGAGTACAGAACCCTCTTATATCCGCTTTTGGAAACCTGGGGAGGTGGAAACCTTGGATTCAGGCGTTGACTCAGCATCTCACAGCTCTGACATTGTACGCCTGTCTTCTACCATCTCCGAACTCCAGATACTCCAACAGCGAAAGGGATCTGGACCCAAAACAGGGCTGAGTGAAATCTCTTAATCTCTCATTTTATGGAGCTGAGATCTCCTACAAGCTAGAAAAATGATTGGCAATCTGACATCCTTCTCAGGAAAAATGCAATGTTTGTTCTGCCTGCATTCCTAACTGGAGGATAAATTCCTGGGGGCTTGAGAGAGGGAAGGGTAGGGAACATTTGATGAGGGCGAGGTGTTTTAGAGAAGTTCCACTTGCCCAGGAATGAATTACTGTTGGTCATGAAGCAACCCTGGCTGACTCAGCAGAGCAAGAGCTTTGCCTTAACAGAGAACGGAGCTCATGCACGCACACTTCGACTCACTGACTCATTCAGCCACGGCCCCATGCTCAGGCCGTGGAAAAGGCAATTCCCAGCACTGCAGGAGGCCAAGGCGGGTGGATCACTTGAAGTCAGGAGTTCCAGACCAGCCTGGCCAAAATGGTGAAACCCTGTCTCTATGAAAAATACAAAAATTAGTCGAGCATGGTGGTGCATCCCTGTAATCCCAGCTCCTACTCTTGAGGATGAAGCAGGAGAATGACTTCAACCCAGGAGGTGGAGGTTGCAGTGAGTGGAGATTGCATCACTGCACTCCAGCCTGGGTGACACAAGGAGACTCCGTCTCAAAAAATAAAAATAAGAAATGCATAAATATAATAAAACACACACGAATGACAAAGGCACCTGAATTCCAATCATCATTTTTGTATTTCTCTATAATTACTTCTTTGATCCTTTGTCTTATCCATTAGGCAATGAGCCTAAAACCTCTTCCGTATTTGGCTTTCTGTGAGCATGAGACCATATAGAAAATGTGAAAGCCCGCTGAATCCTCCAGCACAGATCGTGGAATAGAGAAAGTGCTCTGTTCATCACAAAAAAAACTTGCCGTCTCACTCAAATCCCCCACTTCACCCCTACTTCCAATCACCTGTGGAGATTCAGATAGACCATGGGGAGGTAAACATTAATACTCCTTGGAGTGAGTCCAGATCTTGGAATGAGAGATCAGCACCAGCACTAGCTCCTGCTCCCCTTTCCTACTAATTCACAGGAGGACAGGTGGTATTGAAGCAATAGATGGTGGAGGGGGTGGTCCTTCCCCCAGCCTCTCAGGTAGAACAGCAGCCTAACATGTGTCTCCCGAGATCACAAAGAGTAGGACGTTTCACAGGGGCTTCAACACGATTTCCTGGCTGTTGGACATAAGATAACTCTATTTCGCTTTTTTATCTTGATTTCACTTTTGTTTCCTTTCCTTGGAGAACGCAAGTTGTTTGACTCAAGAATGCTGTGGATGTAGAAATCCTAAAGCACATTCGCTGTGTGTCAATCCCAGTGCAGTCTTCCCAGAAAAGACCCTAAACACCTCCTAGACTGCACCTGGGCCTACGCCAATTCCTATCACTCACCGTCACTCCAGGGAGACAGAACACACAGAGAATACGTTACATAGGCAGGTTCATTACTAACAGATAAGCAGCGAGTGAAAACAGAAGCCTACATTTCAATGTGAGCCAGTCCCTCAAGGCTCAGAAAAGCTGCTCGGGACATATGGAGTCACCCCATTTGCAGTGTAGCTGGGGGAAGCCAGAAAGCAGCCCAGCCTGGGTTTTGTACCCTGGAGCCACAGGAAGCACTCAGCTAAAGCACTGCATGACGTCCTCCTCCAGGAAGAACAGGAAGACAGCCCAGGCTGCTCTGGGACGTTCCTCCTGATCTCAGGACGTTGCTGTCTTAGTCCATTTTTGTTGCTCTAAAGGAACACTTGAGCCTGGGCAACTTCTAAAGAAAAGAGATTGGTTTGTCTCACCGTTCTGCAGGCTGTACTGGAAGCATGGCACCAGCATCTATTTCTCGTGATGGCCTCAGGCTGCTCCCACTCTGGCAGAAGGGAAGGAGGGTCTGTCTGTGCAGAGACCACAGAGATCACACGGCAAGAGAGGGAGCAAGGGGGAGGGGGAGTGATGGAGCTTCCAAGTTCTTTTGAACAACCAGCTCTCCAGGAACTAATAGAGGGGGAACTTGCTAACCCCGTCTCCTTGGGACAGCATTGATCTGTTCATGATGGATCCACCTCCATGACCCAAACACCTCTCAAGAGGCCCAACCTCCCACAATGGGGGTGAAATTTCAATGTGAGGTTTGAAGGGGTCAAACATCTCAACTAAAGTAGTTGTATCCTCAGCACATTCTATGGTTACTTTGAGAGCTATAACTGAGAAAGCAGGAGAAAGCTGGGTCTCCCGCCATCTGGGTGCTTGTCCTAAAGAGGTGTATTACGTGGTTACCTGTCAATCAAGAAATGCGAGACAATTCATAAAAAGGAACTGCTATGATTAGCTTCTTATTGGTGTCTCATCTTCTTCCAGGTAACCCAAGACACCTGCACGTTCTGATTGGGACCTCAGTGGTCATCATCCTCTTCATCCTCCTCCTCTTCTTTCTCCTTCATCGCTGGTGCTCCAACAAGAAAAGTAAGTCTTACGAAGGAGAGGCCAGAGAGCTCCGGGCCATGTGGGGAAGCAGGATGGGAGCACTCAGGTGTGTGTTCCTCACAGGTAGGATGGTCCCTGGCCCAAGGCAGCAGCCACAGAGGCAGGACTTTCTAGAGAGGGCACCAGACTCCCTGTCCCTGCCTTCAGCTCACAGACCGTTGCCTGATTCTGAACTGTATCCTCACGTCCCCTGCAGCCACTCACATCCAGGAGAAGGTTCCATGACAGGCAGAAAGTGGGAGACAGAATCAATGGGATGGGAACTCAGAGCTATTCATGGGATGGGTCCTTGAGCTCAGAGAGATAGAATGTCTGAGTCTGCTGTTGGCAACTGAGGGACCTCAGGCTCCTATGGCCTCCCCCTGTTTGTTGGTATCTGCTTATGAAATGAGGACCCAGAAGTGCCCTCCGAGCTCTTTTGTTGACTTCCGTCTCCTACACATGCTGCTGTAATGGACCAAGAGCCTGCAGGGAACAGAACAGCGAATAGCTAGGTAGGTGCTCCTCGGCCCAGCCTCGTGGCTAGTGTTATTCCCAAACAGTCCTGGAAAATGTGAGCACCCTCCCTCACTCAGGATTTCCCTCTCTCCAGGACTCTGATGAACAAGACCCTCAGGAGGTGACATACGTACAGTTGGATCACTGCGTTTTCACACAGAGAAAAATCACTCGCCCTTCTCAGAGGCCCAAGACACCCCCAACAGATACCAGAGTGTACACGGAACTTCCAAATGCTGAGTCCAGATCCAACGTTGTCTCCTGCCCATGAGCACCACAGTCAGGCCTTGAGGGGATCTTCTAGGGAGACAATAGCCCTGTCTCAAAACCGGGTTGCCAGCTCCCATGTACCAGCAGCTGGAATCTGAAGGCGTGAGTCTGCATCTTAGGGCATCGCTCTTCCTCACACCACAAATCTGAATGTGCCTCTCTCTTGCTTACAAATGTCTAAGGTCCCCACTGCCTGCTGGAGAGAAAACACACTCCTTTGCTTAGCCCACAATTCTCCATTTCACTTGACCCCTGCCCACCTCTCCAACCTTACTGGCTTACTTCCTAGTCTACTTGAGGCTGCAATCACACTGAGGAACTCACAGTTCCAAACATACAAGAGGCTCCCTCTTAACACGGCACTTAGACACGTCCTGTTCCACCTTCCCTCATGCTGTTCCACCTCCCCTCAGAGTATCTTTCAGCCTTCTGTCAGCAGTAAAACTTATATATTTTTTAAAATAATTTCAATGTAGTTTTCCCTCCTTCAAATAAACATGTCTGCCCTCATGGTTTCGGTAATGGGACTCTTTTCTTGCCTAAGACTTCCAGTGTTATCATTACCATGTCCACATAACCCCATCTGTTCTCCACTGGGTTCTCACCCCCGGACTCTGAGTTTCTGGAAGCAGGGTGGAGCCTCATTTGTCTCTGGGACTCCTATTTCCATCCAAAGATGTAGCACATAGGAGGTTCCAAGGATCGTGAATCACATGAACAAGTGATATTCTTACTCTCTGCAGACCTGGAAATCTGGCAGAGTCATTCCAAGATGAAACATTTGTAGAGTCATAGGCCTTGTTAGTCTCATCTACACAGGGACACATATCAACACATCATCTTTCACACTATAAATATACAGTCACTCCTCCATATCTGTGGGGTTTACAGTTCTTTATTGAACCGAGTATAAATCAAAAATATTCAGAGAAAGTATCCACAGAGTTACAAAAAGCAGAACTGTGTTGAATGGACACAAATGAAGCTGTGTGTAGGCTGCATCAGGAATTATAAGTAATCTAGAGATGATTTCATCTATAGAGGAGGATGTGCATAGGTTATTTGCAAACTCTGTGCCATTTCATTTAAGAGGCTTGAGCATCTACAGATTTTGGTATCTGAGTGGAGATCTCGAAACCAATCACCCAGGAATAGTGAAGGATGACCGTATATGACTTTTATTTCTCAAATTTAAATATAAATCATAAAAAATGTACAACTAGATAAAAACTAAGAAGTGTTTTTATAGTGTGAGTTAGATTTATTTTTTCCTAGGTATAACCCATTGGTTTAATATTATTTATTGAGAAGACATTCTATGCCACCTTAAACCACACGGCAGCCTTTGTCAACTCTAAAGGGACTGTGTGTACATGGATGTACTTTAGACACTGTTTCTGCTAAGGGGCTCTCTGTGTCCACACTCTTGATGATGCTGCACTTTATGTAGCCTTATAGAACCCTTTAAATTTAGTAGCCAGAGCTCTCTAATTTGTTATTATAGGCTATTTGCTTTTTTTTCTTGAGGCGGAGTCTTGCTCTGTCGCCCAGGCTGGACTGCAGTGACACAATCTCAGCTCACTGCAACTTCTGCCTCCCAGGTTCAAGCGATTCTCGTGCCTCAGCCTCTTGAGTAGCTGGCGTTACAGGTGCCTGCCACCAGGCACGGCTAATTTTTGGATTTTTAGCAGAGACACGGTTTCACTATATTGGCCAGGCTGCTCTCAAACTCCTTATCTCAGTTGATCCGCCCACCTCGGCTTCCCAACGTGCTGGGGAAACTTGATTTTCTATAGCATTATGTTACTGGATATTTCTGTAAAATTTAAAATGAGGGAGGGAGAGAGACAGACGGAAAACAAACTCCAGAGTTGGGACTCTGGAATCTTGGGTCATGAGACAAATTTTAGATTAAACTACAAAACTCCAGAATTTACAGGTGGGGTTTTTACTGATAAAGTACAATTCTAAGATTGTAAATAATTGCATAATCCTTCCCTGGGAATTTAAATCATTTTAACTGGTTCTGCTGTAATACTAGAAATACAAGCATGAAAAATTCTAATGGTTTGTTAGTCACAATGACTCTGAAAACATTAATAATACCTATTAGATATTTTGCATATTACACAGGAAGAAGAGTTTGAATCTCAGATAAAAACAATAGAAATACATGAAAAGTCTTTCATGTTAGCACAGATTTTAGGCATCTCGTGTTCGGGAGGTTGGATCTCAGACGTGTTTTGAGTTGGGTCATAGTGAAGGACACTAGGTGTCAAATTCTAGCGAGAACAATTTCCAGGAAGCCGTGTTCCGCTCTTGAGCGAGCACCCACTGGGCCTCATGCAAGGTAGAAAGAGCCTGCGTACGTCACCCTCCCATGATGTGGTCAACATGTAAACTGCATGGGCAGGGCGCCAAATAACATCCTGTGCGCTGCTGAGCTGAGCTCGGTCGCGGCTGCCTGTCTGCTCCGGCAGCACCATGTCGCTCTTGGTCGTCAGCATGGCGTGTGTTGGTGAGTCCTGGAAAGCAATAGAGGGAGGGAGCGCGGGGATGGAGATCTGGGCCCAGAGGTGGAGATATAGGCCTGGAGGTGGAGTTATGGGCCTGGAGTGGAGATCTGGGCCTGGAGTGGATATATGGGCCTAGAGATGGAGTGATGGGCCTAGAAGTGGAGATCTGGGCCCAGAGGTCGAGATATAGGCCTGGAGGTGGAGTGATGGGACTGTAGTGGAGATCTGGGCCTGGAGTGGAGATAGGAACCTGGAGGGGAGATAGGAACCTGGAGGGGAGATATGGGCCTGGAGGTGGAGATATGGGCCTGGAGTGGAGTCATGGGCCTGGAGGTGGAGTTACGGGCCTGCAGTAGAGATATGGGCCTGAAGTGGAGACATGGGCCTGGAGTGGAGATATGGGCCAGGAGTGGAGATATGGGCCTAGAGGTCGATATCTGGGCCTGGAGTGGAGATATGGGCCAGGAGTGGAGATATGGGCCTAGAGGTCGATATCTGGGCCTGGAGAGGAGATATGTGCCTAGGATGGAGATACGGGCCTGGGTGTGGAGATATGGGACTGGAGAGGATATATGGGCCTGGAGTGGAGATATGGGACTGGAGAGGAGATATGGACCTGGAGTGGAGATAAGGGCCTGGATTGGAGATATGGGCCCAGGGTGGAGATCTGAGCCTGGATTGGAGATATGGGCCTGGATTGGCGATATGGGCTTAGGGTGGAAATATCGGCCTGGAGTGGAGATATGGGCCTGGAGTGGAGATATGGGCTTGAGGTGGGGATATGGACCTGGAGGCTGGGTCTCTGCACAGCCGACAGCCCTGTTCTTGGGTGCAGGTAGGCACTGAGGGTGAGTTTACCTTCAGCCCAGGAAGGGCCTGGCTACCAAGACTCACAGCCCAGTGGGGGCAGCAAGGGTGCCCTGGTTTGCCTGCAGATGGGTCATCCATCATGATCTTTCTTTCCAGGGTTCTTCTTGCTGCAGGGGGCCTGGCCACATGAGGGTGAGTCCTTCTCCAAACCTTCGGGTGTCATCTCCCCACATAAGAGGATTTTCCTGAAATGGGAGGGAAGTCCTGTCAGGGAGTCTCTCATAAACTAGGAAGAAGGGACCCTGGGGTGCTGGGCCCACATTTCTGACCTTGCCTCCCTGGCCTTTCATTCCCTTGGCAGAGTCAAGTTCTGTGGGGACCAGGGTTAGACTACGGTGCTCAAAGCTGGGGTGTGTGGTGGGGAAGTGGTAGGAACAGCAGATCCTCTGAGGACAAAGGTGTTACTCACACACTTCAGCGTTTCCATGACGGTAGGGGCTGCAGTGTGGCTGCTGTCATTCTACCAGAAGAGGTGGGAAAACCACAGCCATGGCCCTGACATTCCAATCCTCTGATGGGGACTCAGTTGTTTATTTTCGTTCAGGCATCAGCTGATATTCCATTCTCAAAGGACATGCCCTCCACCCCATGTCTACCCTGTGTTGTTTTATGTGAGTAATCTTACAGTATTAAAATCTAGTAGGAGTCTCTTACTCAGCACTTGCTCAAAGTTCTCAGCTGACACTTTTGTTGTAGGGAGACACCTTGTGTTTGCGGGATGGGTCCTTCCTTTAGCCCTGGGCACCAAGGTGTGATAGCAGCCATAGAAACTTGGAAAGCGAGGAGAATCTTCAGAGCACAGGGAGGGAGGGGTGGCTCCACATCCTCCTCTCTAAGGCGGTGCCTCCTTCTCCCCAAGGTGGTCAGGACAAGCCCTTGCTGTCTGCCTGGCCAAGCCCTGTGGTGCCTCCAGGACATGTGATTCTTCAGTGTCATTCTTATCTTGGGTTTAACAACTTCAGTCTGTAAAAGGAAGATGGGGTGCCTGTCCCTGAGCTCTACAACATAATATTCTGGAACAGCCTTTTCATGGGCCCTGTGACCCCAGCACACGCAGGGACCTATACATGTCGGGGTTCACAACCACACTACCCCAGTGGGTGGTCGGCACCCAGCAACCCCCTGGAGATCACGGTCACAGGTCAGAGGGCTCCTGTCTGGGATTCTCCTTGTCCCACCTCCTGAATCCCAGAGCTCCTGGTGGGCGTGTCCTTGCGGGTCCCATCATGCAAGTCCTGACTGTATTTGGGGTAAAGGGGGATTGAATACAGGGAAATGGGTGCTGTGGTGGGAAGCACTGTGTTGTCCCCAGTGATGACTACATTCTAATCCCTGGAGTCTGTGACTATTTATGATATAGGGGAAGGGACTGAAGGAGAAGATGGAGCTCAGGTTGTTGATGAGTTGACCTTGAGATGGGGAGAAGGCCTGGACTGTCCTGATGGGCTCAGTGTAGTCACAGGGGTCCACATGAAAGGAGGAGGAAGAGGGGAGTGGGGATTACAGCAGCATAATGGGAGTCTCCATCAGCTTTGAAGGTGGAGGAAGTCCAGGAGCCATGAATGCAGGTGGCCTATAGAGGCTGGAAAAGTCAAGGAACTGATTCTCCTGAGTCTCCAGAGGGAACGAAGCCCTGCAGGTACCTTGATTTTACCCACGACAAACAGGGTCCGATTTCTGTCTCCAGAATTGGAAGGGGTTAGTGTGCTCTCTCCTGCTGCCATGCTTCTGATAATTTTCTACAGCAGCAACAGGAAACCAACACTGGAACCCAGGTCAAGGACAGGTTAAGAAACAACACAAGGATAGCCAGGCATGGTGGCAGGTGCATGTAATCCTAGCGACTTGGGAGGCTGAGGGCAGGAGAATCACTTGAACCCAGGAGACAGAGGTTGCAGTAAGCCTAGACCACACCACTTCACTCCAGCCTGGGCAAAGGAGTGAGACTCTGTCGCCAAAATTAATTAATTAATTAAAGAAACCAAACAAGGAGAAGGTTGGCTACACTGAGATCAGCAAGGCTCGGATGATGATGCCACCACCAGGCTCCATCCACATAGGGAGCGGTTGATACTCCTCCAACCAGCACCAGGAGCCAGGCTATGGAAGCTGGCACTGGCATGGCAAGAGTGTCTCCCAGTCCCTACCAGGAACAGGGTGTGTGGCCACTGGTGCCTGCCTTACTGATCAGTTCATACCTCCTGCCAAGGATTCCAATTCGTCCAAAAGAGATTGAACCAGGCTGCTAAGAGCCTGGATGTGCAGCCTATCCTGGTTCCTCTTCCACCCCCACACAGACAGCAGGAAAGACATTAGTTCGAAATAGATACAACAGCCCAAGAGATGAGGCTGAGCCCAGCGGCAAGGGAATCAGAGGCTACTAGAGACAGAGGGACAGAGAAGAGTGAGGGAGACAGATGGAAGGACCTGCACCAGGAGTTATGGGCACAGAAAAGAACATGAAGACACAGAGAGGAAGGAGAGAGATAAGACACCAGGAAGGGGAAGCCTCACTCAATCCAGGTGCCATGGATGGGATGATAAAGAGAGACACCTTCTAAACTCACAACCTCTCTTCCTAGGAGTCCACAGAAAACCTTCCCTCCTGGCCCACCCAGGTCGCCTGGTGAAATCAGAAGAGACAGTCATCCTGCAATGTTGGTCAGATGTCATGTTTGAACACTTCCTTCTGCACAGAGAGGGGATGTTTAACGACACTTTGCGCCTCATTGGAGAACACCATGATGGGGTCTCCAAGGCCAACTTCTCCATCAGTCGCATGACGCAAGACCTGGCAGGGACCTACAGATGCTACGGTTCTGTTACTCACTCCCCCTATCAGGTGTCAGCTCCCAGTGACCCTCTGGACATCGTGATCATAGGTGAGAGTGTCCAGACTTTCTTCTCATTGTCATTGGGATGCAGAGTGAATGATCCAGGACTTGGAGGCCCAGGTGGCTGTAAGGAAGATGAGCTTGGTATTCTTATGGAGAGAGACTGACTTGGTGAGGTCTGTGCCAACAGAGACAGAGAAACAGGAGACACAAGTAGAGACCAGGTGTCATAACAGAGAACAGACACAGGGGCCATACCGGGAGTTTGAAAAGACAGAAAGAGTTAAAGGAGACACACAGACAGACATGTCCCAGAGAGAGGTGTCCCTCCATGCTGACTTTGCTCAGAGACCTGGCACAGGTTAGAAGTTTCATTTCTGTTTTACCTCCACAAAGTGTTCTCTACCAGGAGAACCCAAGGACACCCATATTTCTGACCTGAGTTGGGCCCTGTGGCCTCAGGCCTTGTGGCACCTACAGATGCCATGTTTATTCTGACACCTCTGCCTTCCATGTAATGGAGAGTAATCGTCCCAGGATATCATGGCCCCACAACACCAACCCCTGTATGCTGTGTGAACTTGTAGTCTCCAGACTGGATTCTGAGGCTCATATTCCAAATAAGCCCACTTATGAGAGGATCAGTGAGAGGCACAGAGAGAAATCAGGGACACCAAAAAGCAAAGACATAAACACACAGAGAATGAGCCAGAGGAAGGAGATTGAGCGACTCACAGACACATAAAGAGAGAGAAAAGAGGGCAGAGAAGTGAGAATGATGGAAGGGAGCAGAGAAAATCACTAAAGTTAGACTCCTGAGGGAGAGGCACAAGGACATTGAAAGATGGAGATGTGGGGATGAATTGCAGAGATTCCAAAGAGAACTAGAGAGACCGAGAGGCAGAGCAAGACAGATGATAGATGGATAGATATAGATAGATGATAAATAGGTAGATGATAGATAATAGGTTATAGATACATAGATGATGATTGATTGATTCATTAATAGATGAGACATAGAGATGATGATGATGAAGACACATAGATAGATAATACATAGAGATACAGAGGCAGACATAGAGAAATCATAGAGAGAGAGAGATGATACATAGATATAGATAATAGATGATTGATGGATAGATAGACAATTGATGGATAAATAGATGATATATAGATATAGATGACAGGTAGAGAATTTGTAGATAGGCACCGAATAGATAAATAGATAGATCGATAGATAATAGATAGAAATATGCAGAAAGTTATGAACAGGACACAAAGTGAGAAACTCAGAATTAAAAAAAGTAACATCAAGTCAACCAATCCAAGGAGAGTCAGAGAGAATAAAACAATCCAAAAAGAGAAAACATATCTAGAGGTGGGGAAGTGAGGTCAGAGACCTAGAGAGACAGAGAAGGTGGAAGGAGGAAATAGACATGAAGAGCGATGGGGTAGAGGGTGAGAGAGAGAGAGAGAGAGCATTAGGTCATAGAACAGGGGAGTGAGTTCTCAGCTCAGGTGAAGGGAGCTGTGACAAGGAAGATCCTCCCTGAGGAAACTGCCTCTTCTCCTTCCAGGTCTATATGAGAAACCTTCTCTCTCAGCCCAGCCGGGCCCCACGGTTCTGGCAGGAGAGAATGTGACCTTGTCCTGCAGCTCCCGGAGCTCCTATGACATGTACCATCTATCCAGGGAAGGGGAGGCCCATGAACGTAGGCTCCCTGCAGGGACCAAGGTCAACGGAACATTCCAGGCCAACTTTCCTCTGGGCCCTGCCACCCATGGAGGGACCTACAGATGCTTCGGCTCTTTCCGTGACTCTCCATACGAGTGGTCAAAGTCAAGTGACCCACTGCTTGTTTCTGTCACAGGTGAGGAAAGCCCATGGCTGTCCCATGTCCTATGATCCTAGAGCCTTAGCTGAGGAGCTTCCTGCTGATGATGGAGAGAAGCATGGACAGATGCAGAGAGAAGACGCAGCCTCGGTGTGAGGGAGGGATCAGGGCACAGGATGGCCGACAGGGCACCTCCAAACCCTCCTACATGGCCTGCATGGAGGCCCACGGCCAGGGCTCCAGGCACCCAGGCAGATGGAGAAAGCGGTCAGGAGAGACCCAGAGGAGGGAGACTGGGCTCAGTTTGGGGAGATCAGAGGTTCCCTCAGCCCCTCAACCTTACCCATTTCCCAGAAGCCCATCCTGGCCTCTCACCCACACAGAGATGTCATCACCAGCAACCCCTACACCCTTTACTTTTCTTTGAAGAAATATTTATTGAGGATAAATATACCTATATAGCTTACCACTTTTAACATTTTTTTTTGAGGTGGAGTCTAGCTGTGTCCCCTATGCTGGAGTGCAGTGGCACAATCTCAGCTCACTGCAACCTCCACCTCCTGGGTTCAAGCGATTCTCCTGCCTCAGCCACCTGAGTAGCTGGTGCTACAGGCACGCACCACCACGCCAGGCTACTTTTTGTATTTTTAGTAGGGAGGTGGTTTCACCATGTTGGTCGAGCTGGTCTCGAACTCCTGACCAAGTGATCCACCCGCATCTGCCTCCCAAAGTGCTGGGATTACAGGCATGGGCCACCGCGCCCAGCCACATTTACCATTTTTAAGTGTAAAGTCTAGTGGTCATAAATACATTTATATACATATATATATATACATTTTTTTTACCCTCCACCCTTTTCTTCCTGTCCTCCAGTAGCCACCATTCTACTCTCTACCTTCATGAGATCCACCTTTTAGCTCCTGTATATGGGTGAGAAATGGGAATCTTTGTAATGACCTCCAGTTCCATCCATGTGGCTGCAAATGACAGGATGTTATTCTTTCTATGGATGAGTAGTCTCCACTATGCGTATGTACTACATTCTCTCTATCCATTTACCCACTGATGGGCAGGTAGGTTGACTCCTCATCTTGGCTACTGTGAACAGTGCTGCACCAATCATACGAGTGCAGATATCACTTCGATATATTGATTTACTTTCCTTTGGATATAAACCCAGTAGTGAAATTGCTGGATACTATGAAAGTTCTCTTTTTTTCTTTTTTTCTTTTTTGAGAAAGAGTTTCCCTCCTTAGCCCAAGCTGGAGTCAAAGTGGTGCGACCTTGGCTCATTGCAACCTACGCCTCCTGGGTTCAAATGATTTTCCTGCCTCAGCCTCCCTAGTAGCTGGGATTACAGGTGCACACCACCATCCCTGGCTACTTTTTGGTTTTTTTAGTATAGATGGGGTTTCCCCATGTTGGCTGGGCTGCTCTCAAACTCATGACCTCAACTGAGGTGCCCGCCTCAGTCTCCCAAAGTGCCGGGATTACAGGCATGATCCACCGCACCCAACCTCTTTTTAGTTCTTTAAAGGACTTCCATACTTTTCTCCGTAATGGCTGTACTAATTTACACTCCTCCCAACAGGGTACCAGGGTTCTCCTTTCTCTACCACCTTGCCAGCATTTCTTTTGCCTGTCTTGCAGCTAAAAGCCATTTTATTTTATTTCATTTTATTTTGAGATGGAGTTTTGCTCTTCTCACCCAGGCTGGAGTGCAGTGGCGCGATCTCGGCTCACCACAACCTCCACCTCCCAGGTTCAAGCGATTCTCCTGCCTCAGCCTCCCGAGTAGCTGGAATTACAGGCACACGCCACCACGCCCGACTAATTTTTGTATTTTTAGTAGAGACAGCGTTTCTCTATGTGGGTCATACTGGTCTCAAACTCCCGACCTTATGAGATTCACCCACCTCAGGCTCTCAAAGTTCTAGGATGACAAACGTGAGCCACCTCACCCGGCCTAAAAGCCATTTTAATGGGGTGAGATGAAAACTCACTTTGAATTTAATTTGCGTTTCTCTGATGATGAGTGATACTGAGCAGTTTTTCGTATGTGGGGAAATTTCATGTCTTTTGCTCCTTTTTCAATTAAATCATTTGTTTTATTGAGTTGTTTGAGCTTCTTATATTTCTAGTTATTAATCCCATCTCAGATGCATAGTTTGCACATATTTGCTCCCAATCTGTGGGTTGTCTCTTCACTTTGTTGGTTTATTTTTAGCGGTGCAGAAGTTGCTTAGTATGAGGTAATCCCAATGGTCTATTTTTGCTTCGATTACTTGTGTTTTCAAGGTTTAAAACAAAATGTCTTTCTTCAGACAAGTGTCCTGGAGCATTTCCCCAATATTTTGTTCTACGTGTTTCATAGGTTCAGGCCTTAGACTCACATCTTTAATCCATTTTCATTTGATTTTTGTGTATGGTGACAGGTAGAGGTGCAGTTTCATTCCTCTGCATGTAGATGTCCAGGTTTCCCTGCACTGTTTATTGAAAAGACTGTCCTTTCCTGATTGTGAGTTCTTGGCATCTTTGTCAAAGTCCATTGGATGGGCTGGGCTTGGTGGCTAACACCTGCAATTTCAGCACTTTGGGAGCCCAAGGTGGGTGGATCACCTGAGGCCAGGAGTTCAAGATTAGTCTGGCCGACGTGATGAAACATCATCTCCACTAAAAATATAAAAATTAGCTGAGCATGGTGGTCAGCACCTGTAATACCACTACTCAGGAGTTTGAGGCAAGAGAATGATTGAACCCAGGAGGCTGAGGTTGCAGTGAACCGAGATTGCACCTTTGCACTCCAGCCTGAGTGACAGAGCAAGACTCCATCTCAAAAGAAAAAATAAAAAACCATTGGATGTAAATGCATGGAATATATCTGTGTTATTCATTCTGCTCCGTTGTTCTATGTGCCTTTCTTTATGCCAATGTCATGCTATTTTGCTTACTACAGCTCTGTAACATATTTTGAGATCAGGTAGTGTGATGCTCCTGTTTTCTCTTTATACCTTGAAGTCTCAAGACAGTGGGTGTCACATAAAAAAATTATGGAAAAAAGGATCCCAGGACTCCCAGGGCCCAATATTAGATAACAGAGTGTTGGCCATGAACCATCCTCAAAGATTTCCACTGAGTGGAGGACAGAAACCCTCATTTCCTCACCTCTCTCCTGTCTCATGTTCTAGGAAACCCTTCAAATAGTTGGCCTTCACCCACTGAACCAAGCTCCGAAACCGGTGAGTACAGAACCCTCTTATATCCGCTTTTGGAAACCTGGGGAGGTGGAAACCTTGGATTCAGGCGTTGACTCAGCATCTCACAGCTCTGACATTGTACACCTGTCTTCCACCATCTCCGAACTCCAGATACTCCTACAGCGAAAGGGATCTGGGCCCAACACAGGGCTCAGTGAAATCTCTTCATCTCTCATTTTATGGAGCTGAGACCTCCTACAAGCTAGAAGAATGATTGCCAATCTGACATCCTTCTCAGGAAAAATGCAATGTTTGTTCTGCCTGCATTCCTAACTGGAGGATAAATTCCTGGAGACTTGAGAGAGGGAAGGGAAGGGAACATCTGATGAGGGCGAGGTGTTTTAGAGAAGTTCCACTTGCCAAGGAATGAGCTCCTGTAGGTCATGAAGCAACCCTGGCTGACTCAGCAGAGCAAGAGCCTTGCCGTAACAGAGAACAGAGCTCATGCACGCACACTTCGACTCACTGACTCATTCAGCCACGGCCCCATGCTCAGGCTGTGCAGTGCGGAACCTTTTCCTATTGTTGCCATAACAAATTTCCACAAGATTCGTGGGTGAAAACAAAACGGTTTTTTAATTATCTTACAGTGCTGTAGCTCAAAGTAGGAAGTGCATCTTACTGGGCTAAAATCAAGGTGACAGCAAGGCTGCCTTCCCTCTGAGGATTCCAGGCACGAATCTGCTTCTCACTTGTCCCAGCTTCTAAAGGCTCCCAGTTCCTTGGCTCCTGGTCCCCTTCCTCCTTCCTCAAAGCCCACAAAGACTGGTCACATCTCACATGGCATCACTCAGTGCCTTCTTCCTTACCACACTTCTTTCTCTGAATGCTGCTCTCCCTTCTTCCTCATCTTTTGAAAACTTGGGGATTCTATTGGGTTCACCAAGATGAAAATCCCTCATAATCTCCTGGAAATCATCCAGGATACCCTTGTTTTAAGTTCAGCTGATTAGTAACCATAATTCCATCTGCAATCTTCATTCCTCCTTTCCATGTAAAATAACATATTCACAAGCTATGGAGGCTAGGACAGGGACATTTTGGGGTGGGACAGCATTCTCCTGCCTTCCACAAACAGTGAACAAGATGCATTTGGCCTCTGCCCTTGGGACACTGATATTGCAGATGGTTAAATGGGAGGGCAGAAAATGAATGCACAAGTGGATCTATAAATGAATGATCCATTGGGAAGCATCTGTGCGTGAAATCTATTTTTTGTTTGTTCTTTTGTTTATTGAGACAGAGTCGCCCTCTGTCTTCCAGGCTACAGTGCAGTGTCACGATCTTGGCTCACTGCAACCTGCGTCTCCTGGATTCAAGTGATTCTCCTGCCTCCGCCTCTCGAGTAGCTGGGATTACAGGCAACTGCCACCGTGCCCGGCTAATTCTTTTTGTATATTTTTTGTAGAGAGGATGTTTCACCACGTTGGCCAAGCTTGTCTGAAACTCCCAACCTCAAGTGATCCGACCGTCTCAGCATGCCAAAGTAATGGGACTACAGGCGTGAGCCACTGTGCCCAGCCAGAATTCAAAATCAATAATAGATAATGCTGAGTGTATGATTTCAGGTGACAAAGAAGGTCTCACTATTCAGATATTTGTGACATTAATGAAAAACACGGATTGAACCCCTGAAAGATTGGCGGAAGGATTTTGCACACACAGCTGTCAGCCGTGAAGGCACAAAGGTGAAAACAATCTGATATGGAAGGAAGAGGCTCTGCCTCAAATGCTGGGAATGATGTGGGGAGAATGACAAGATGACTGTAGAGAGACGGAGAGCACACTGGGTACACAGGAAACTAAGGAGCAACAAGGAGTGTGTGTTTGACACTCACAGCCATTGAATTCACCTCGGGGTAACTAGGAATCCCTACATGATTAATATGACTGACATGAAAATAAGGGAGGCTCAGTTGCATAACTGGAATCTAGGAGACCGTGGAAAAGGCAATTGCCGACCCACTGGTGAAATGTGGTGCTGATTTAGACACTAAATGAATGAAGTAGATGGATATAAGATATGTTTGTGAGGTAGAATCATTGACTGGAAACGCTTACTGGGTTTGATTTTCCTACTTGTTTAATCCTCGCTTAATTAATTTCTTTCTGAGATTTATTCATCCTACACATAAATCAATACCTGGCAAAGGAGTGACAGATATATGAGGGGTGGTGGAAATGAAGGGACCTATTATAGCATAATATACAAGTCTGTGAACGGTGGCTCACGCCTGTAACCCAGCACTGCAGGAGGCCAAGGCGGGTGGATCACATGAAGTCAGCAGTTCGAGACCAGCCTGGCCAACATGGTGAAACCCTGTCTCTAGGAAAAACACAAAAATTAGCCGAGCATGGTGGTGCATCCCTGTAATCCCAGCTCCTACTCTGGAGGATGAAGCAGGAGAATGACTTCAACCCAGGAGGTGGAGGTTGCAGTGAGTGGAGGTTGCATCACTGCACTCCAGCCTGGGTGGCACAAGGAGACTCCGTCTCAAAAAATAAAAATAAGAAATGCATAAATATAAATATAATATAACACACGCAAATGACAAAGGGACCTGAATTCCAATCATGATTTTTCTATTTCTCTATAATTACTTCTTTGATCCTTTATCTTATCCATTAGGCAATGAGCCTAAAACCTCTTCCCTATTTGGCTTTCTGTGAGCATGAGATCACATAGAAAATGTGAAAGCCCGCTGAATCCTCCAGCACAGATCCTGGAATAGAGAAAGTGCTCTGGTCATCACAAAAAAAACTTGCCCACTCACCCAAATCCCCCACCTCACCCCTACTTCCAATCACCTGTGGAGATTCAGATAGACCATGGGGAGGTAAACATTAACACTCCTTGGAGTGAGTCCAGATCTTGGAATCAGAGATCAGCGACAGCACTAGCTCCTGCTCCCCTTTCCTACTAATTCACAGGAGGACAGGTGGTTTTGAAGCAATAGATGGCCGAGGGGGTGGTCCTTCCCCCAGCCTCTCGGGTAGAACAGCAGCCTAATATGTGTCTCCCGAGATCACAAAGAGCAGCAGGTTTCACACGGGCTTCAACACTATTTCCTGGCCGTTTGACATAAGAGAATTCTATTTCGCTTTTTTTATCTTGATTTCACTTTTGTTTTCTTTCCTTGGAGAATGCAAGTTGTTTGATTCAAGAATGCTGTGGATGTAGAAACCCTAAAGCACATTCGCTGTGAATCAATCCCAGTCCAGTCTTCCCAGAGAAGACTCTAAACACCTCCTGGACTGCACCTGGGCCTATGCCAATTCCTATCACTCACCGTCACTCCAGGGAGACAGAACACACAGAGAATACGTTACATAGGCAGGTTCATTACTAACAGATAAGCAGCGAGTGACAACAGAAACCTATATTTCAATGTGACCCAGTCCCTCAAGGCTCAGAAAAGCTCCTCGGGACATATGGAGTCACCCCATTTGCAGTGTAGCTGCGGGAAGCCAGAAAGCAGCCCAGCCTGGGTTTTGTACCCTGGAGCCACAGGAAGCACTCAGCTAAAGCACTGCATGACGTCCTCCTCCAGGAAGAACAGGAAGACAGCCCAGGCTGTTCTGAGACGTTCCTCCTGATCTCAGGAAGTTGCTGTCTTAGGCCATTTTTGTTGCTCTAAAGGAACACTTGAGCCTCGGTAACTTCTAAAGAAAAGAGATTGGTTTGTCTCACCGTTCTGCAGGCTGTACTGGAAGCATGGCACCAGCATCTATTTCTCGTGACGGCCTCAGGCTGCTCCCACTCTGGCAGAAGGGAAGGAGGGTCTGTCTGTGCAGAGACCACAGAGATCACACGGCAAGAGAGGGAGCAAGGGGGAGGGGGAGTGATGGAGCTTCCAAGCTCTTTTTAACAACCAGCTCTCCGGGAACTAATAGAGGGGGAACTTGCTAACCCCGTCTCCTTGGGACAGCATTGATGTGTTCATGATGGATCCACCTCCATGACCCAAACACCTCTCAAGAGGCCCAACCTCCCACAGTGGGGGTGAAATTTCAATGTGAGGTTTGAAGGGGTCAAACATCTCAACTAAAGTAGTCGTATCCTCAGCACGTTCTATGGTTACTATGAGAGCTATAACTGAAAAAGCAGGAGAAAGCTGGGTCTCCTGCTATCTGGGTGCTTGTCCTAAAGAGGTGTTTTATGTGGTTACCTGTCAATCAAGAAATGCGAGACAATTCATAAAGAGGAACTGCTAAGATTAGCTTCTTATTGGTGTCTCATCTTCTTCCAGGTAACCCCCGACACCTGCACATTCTGATTGGGACCTCAGTGGTCATCATCCTCTTCATCCTCCTCTTCTTTCTCCTTCATTGCTGGTGCTCCAACAAAAAAAGTAAGTCTCACGAAGCAGAGGCCAGAGAGCTCAGGGCCATGTGGGGAAGCAGGATGGGAGCACTCAGGTGTGTGTTCCTCACAAACAGGATGGTCCCTGGCCCAAGGCAGCAGCCACAGAGGCAGGACTTTCTAGAGAGGGCACCAGACTCCCTGTCCCTGCCTTCAACTCACAGACCGTTGCCTGATTCTGAACTGTATCCTCATGTCCACTGCAGCCACTCACATCCAGGAGAAGGTTCCATGACAGGCAGAAAGTGGGAGACAGAATCAATGGGATGGGAACTCAGAGCTATTCATGGGATGGGTCCTTGAGCTCAGAGAGATAGAATGTCTGAGTCTGCTGTTGGCAACTGAGGGACCTCAGCCACCTATGGTCTCCCCCTGTATGTTGGTATCTGCTTATGAAATGAGGACCCAGAAGTGCCCTCCGAGCTGTTTTGTTGACTTCCGTCTTCTACAGATGCTGCGGTAATGGACCAAGAGTCTGCAGGAAACAGAACAGCGAATAGCGAGGTAGGTACTCCTCGGCCCGGGCTCGTGGCTACTGTTATTCCCAAAGAGTCCTGGAAAATGTGAGCACCCTCCCTCACTCAGCATTTCCCTCTCTCCAGGACTCTGATGAACAAGACCCTCAGGAGGTGACATACACACAGTTGAATCACTGCGTTTTCACACAGAGAAAAATCACTCGCCCTTCTCAGAGGCCCAAGACACCCCCAACAGATATCATCGTGTACACGGAACTTCCAAATGCTGAGTCCAGATCCAAAGTTGTCTCCTGCCCATGAGCACCACAGTCAGGCCTTGAGGGCGTCTTCTAGGGAGACAACAGCCCTGTCTCAAAACCGGGTTGCCAGCTCCCATGTACCAGCAGCTGGAATCTGAAGGCATGAGTCTGCATCTTAGGGCATCGCTCTTCCTCACACCACAAATCTGAATGTGCCTCTCACTTGCTTACAAATGTCTAAGGTCCCCACTGCCTGCTGGAGAAAAAACACACTCCTTTGCTTAGCCCACAGTTCTCCATTTCACTTGACCCCTGCCCACCTCTCCAACCTAACTGGCTTACTTCCTAGTCTACTTGAGGCTGCAATCACACTGAGGAACTCACAATTCCAAACATACAAGAGGCTCCCTCTTAACGCAGCACTTAGACACGTGTTGTTCCACCTTCCCTCATGCTGTTCCACCTCCCCTCAGACTAGCTTTCAGTCTTCTGTCAGCAGTAAAACTTATATATTTTTTAAAATAACTTCAATGTAGTTTTCCATCCTTCAAATAAACATGTCTGCCCCCATGGTTTCGGTAATGGGACTCTTTTCTTGCCTAAGGCTTCCGGTGTTATCAGTACCATGTCCATATAATCCCATCTGTTCCCCACTGAGTTCTCATCCCCGGACTCTGAGTTTCTGGAAGCAGGGTGGAGCCTCATTTGTCTCTGGGACTCCAATTTCCATCCAAAGATGTAGCACATAGGAGGTTCCAAGGATCACGAATCATATGAACAAGTGATACTCTTACTCTCTGCAGACCTGGAAAGCTGGCAGAGTCATTCCACAATGAAACATTTGTAGAATCATAGGCCTTGTTAGTCTCATCTCCATGGGGACACATATCAACACATCATCTTTCATAATATAAATATACGGTCACTCCTCCATATCTGCGGGGTTTACAGGTGTTTATTGAACCAAGTATAAATCAAAAATATTGAGAGAAAGTATCCACAGAGTTTCAAAAAGCATAACTATGTTGAATGGACACAAATGAAGCTGTGTGTAGGCTGTATCAGGAATTATAAGTAATCTAGAGATGATTTCATGTATACAGGAGGATGTGCATAGGTTATTTGCAAACGCTGTGCCATTTCATATAAGAGGCTTGAGCATCTACAGATTTTGGTATCTGAGTGGAGATCTCAAAACCAATCACCCACGAATAGTGAAGGATGACCGTATATGACTTTTATTTCTCAAATTTAAATATAAATCATAAAAAATGTACAACTAGATAAAAACTAAGAAGTGTTTTTATAGTGTGAGTTAGATTTATTTTTTCCTAGGTGTAACCAATTGGTTTAATATTATTTATTGAGAAGACATTCTATGCCACCTTAAACCACACGGCAGCCTTTGTCAACTCTAAAGGGACTGTGTGTACATGGATGTATTTTAGACACTGTTTCTGCTAAGGGGCTCTCTGTGTCCACACTCTTGATGATGCTGCACTTTATGTAGCCTTATAGAACCCTTTAAATTTAGTAGCCAGAGCCCTCTAATTTGTTATTATAGGCTGTTTGCTTTTTTTTTCTTGAGGCGGAGTCTTGCTCTGTCGCCCAGGCTGGACTGCAGTGACACAATCTCAGCTCACTGCAACCTCCGCCTCCCAGGTTCAAGCGATTCTCGTGCCTCAGCCTCTTGAGTAGCTGGCGTTACAGGTGCCTGCCACCAGGCACGGCTAATTTTTGGATTTTTAACAGAGACACGGTTTCACTATATTGGCCAGGCTGCTCTCAAACTCCTTATCTCAGTTGATCTGCCCACCTCGGCTTCCCAACGTGCTGGGGAAAACTTGATTTTCTATAGCATTATGTTACTGGATATTTCTGTAAAATTTAAAACGAGGGAGGGAGAGAGACAGACAGAGAGCAAACTCCAGAGTTGGGACTCTGGAATCTTGGGTCATGAGACAAATTTTAGATTAAACTACAAAACTCCAGAATTTACAGGTGTGGTTTTTGCTGATAAAGTACAATTCGAAGATTGTAAATAATTGCATAATCCTTCCCTGGGAATTTAAATCATTTTAGCTGGTTCTGCTGTAATACTAGAAATACAAGCATGAAAAATTCTAATGGTTTATTAGTCACAATGACTCCGAAAACATTAATAATACCTATTAGATACTTTGCATATTACACAGGAAGAAGAGTTTGAATCTCAGATAAAAACAAAAAAAATACATGAAAAGTCTTTCATGTTAGCACAGATTTTAGGCATCTCGTGTTCGGATAAAAATACATGAAAAGTCTTTCACGTTAGCACAGATTTTAGGCATCTTGTGTTCGGGAGGTTGGATCTGAGACGTGTTGTGAGTTGGTCATAGTGAAGGACGTGAGGTGCCAATTCTAGTGAGAACAATTTCCAGGAAGCCGTGTTCCGCTCTTGAGCAAGCATCCACTGGGCCTCATGCAAGGTAGAAAGAGCCTGCGTACGTCACCCTCCCATGATGTAGTCAACATGTAAGCTGCATGGGCAGGGCGCCAAATAACATCCTGTGCGCTGCTGAGCTGAGCTGGGGCGCGGCCGCCTGTCTGCACCGGCAGCACCATGTCGCTCATGGTCGTCAGCATGGCGTGTGTTGGTGAGTCCTGGAAAGGAATAGAGGGAGGGAGTGCCACATCCTCCTCTCTAAGGTGGCGCCTCCTTCTCCCCCAGGTGGTCAGGACAAGCCCTTCCTCTCTGCCTGGCCCAGCCCCGTGGTGTCTGAAGGAGAACATGTGGCTCTTCAGTGTCGCTCTCGTCTTGGGTTTAACGAATTCAGTCTGTCCAAAGAAGACGGGATGCCTGTCCCTGAGCTCTACAACAGAGTATTCCGAAACACCGTTTTCATAGGCCCTGTGACCCCAGCACATGCAGGGACCTACAGATGTCGGGGTTCACACCCACACTTCCTCACTGGGTGGTCAGCACCCAGCAACCCCCTGGTGATCATGGTCACAGGTCAGAGGGCTCCTGTCTGGGATTCTCCTTGTCCCACCTCCTGAGTCCCAGAGCTTCTGGTGGGAGTGTCCACCAGCGTCCCATCATCCAGACCCTAACTGTATTTGGGATAAAAGGGGATTGAATACAGGGAAATGGGTGCTGTGGTGGAAAGAATAATTGTCCCCAATGATGACTGCATTCTAATCCCTGCAGTCTGTGACTATTTATGTTATAGGGGAAGGCACTGAAGGGGAAGATGGAGCTCAGGTTGTTGAGTTGACCTTGAGATGGGGAGACAGCCTGGACTGTCCTGCTGGGCTCAGTGTAATCACAAGGGTGCACATGAGAGGAGAAGGAAGAGGGGAGTGGCGATTAGAGCAGTGCAATGGAAGTCTCCATCAGCTTTGAAGGTGGAGGAAGGCCATGAGCCATGAATGCAGGTGGCCTATAGAGGCTGGAAAAGTCAAGGAACTGATTCTCCTGGGTCTCCAGAGGGAACGCAGCCCTGCAGATGCCTTGATTTTAGCCCTCAAAAAACAGGGTCCGATTTCTGTCTCCAGAAACGGAAGGGGTCAGTGTGCTCTCTCCTGCTGCCATGCTTCTGATAATTTTCTACAGCACCAACAGGAAACCAACACTGGAACCCAGGTCAAGGACAAGATAAGAAAGGACACAAGGATAGCCGGGCGTGGTGGCAGGTGCATGTAATCCTAGCAACTCAGGAGGTTGAGGGCAGGAGAATCACTTGAACCCAGGAGACAGAGGTTGCAGTGAGCCTAGACCACACCACTTCACTCCAGCCTGGGTGAAGGAGTGAGACTCTGACTCCAAAATTAATTAATTAATTAAAGAAACCAAACAAAGAGAAGGTTGGCTACACCGAGATCAGCAAGGGTGGGATGATGATGCCACCACCAGGCTCCATCCACATAGGGAGGGGTTGATACTCCTCAAACCAGCACCAGAAGCCAGCCTATGGAAGCTGGCACCATGGAGAAGGCACAGGCATGGCAAGAGTGGCTCCCAGTCCCCACCAGGAACAGGGTGTGTGGACACTGGTGCCTGCCTTACTGATCAGTTCATACCTTCTGCCAAGGATTCCAATTCGTCCAAAAGAGATTGAACCAGTCTGCTAAGAGCCTGGACGTGCAGCCTATCCTGGTTCCTCTTCCACCCCCACATAGAAGCAGGAAAGACATTAGTTCGAAATAGATACAACAGCCCAAGAGATGAGGCTGAGCCCAGCGTCAAGGGAATCAGGAGCTACTAGAGACAGAGGGACAGAGAAGAGGGAGGGAGACAGATGGAAGGACCTGTACCAGGAGTTATGGGCACAGAAAAGAACATGAAGACACAGAGAGGAAGGAGAGAGATAAGACACCAGCGAGGGGAAGCCTCACTCATTCTAGGTGCCATGGATGGGATGATAAAGAGAGATGCCTTCTAAAGTCACAACTTCTCTTCCTAGGAGTCCACAGAAAACCTTCCCTCCTGGCCCACCCAGGTCCCCTGGTGAAATCAGAAGAGACAGTCATCCTGCAATGTTGGTCAGATGTCATGTTTGAGCACTTCCTTCTGCACAGAGAGGGGAAGTTTAATGACACTTTGCGCCTCACTGGAGAGCTCCATGATGGGGTCTCCAAGGCCAACTTCTCCATCGGTCGCATGACGCAAGACCTTGCAGGGACCTACAGATGCTACGGTTCTGTTCCTCATTCCCCCTATCAGTTGTCAGCTCCCAGTGACCCTCTGGACATCGTGATTACAGGTGAGAGTGTCTGGACATTATTCTCATTGTCACTGGGACACAGAGTGAATGATCCACGACTTGGAGGCCCAGGTGGTTATAAGGAAGATGAGCTTGGTATTCTTATGGAGAGAGACTAACTTGGTGAGGTCTGTACCAACAGAGACAGAGAAACAGGAGACACAAGTACAGACCAGGTGTCATAACAGAGGACAGACACAGGGGCCATACAGGGAGTTAGAAAAGACAGAAAGAGTTAAAGGAGACACAGACAGACATGTGCCAGAGAGAGGTGTCCTTCCATGCTGACTTTGCTCAGAGACCTGGCACAGGTTAGAAGTTTCATTTCTGTTTTACTTCCACAAAGTGTTCTCTACCAGAAGAACCCAAGGACACCCATATTTCTGGCCTGAGTTGGGCCCTGTGGCCTCAGGCCTTCTGGCACCTACAGATGCCGTGTTTATTCTGACACCTCTGCCTTCCATGCAATGGAGAGTAATTGTCCCAGGATATCATGGCCCCAGAACATCAACCCCTGTATACTGTGTGAACTTGCGGTCCCCAGACTGGATTCTGAGGCTCACATTCCAAATAACCCCACATATGAGAGGATCACTGAGAGACACAGAGAGAAATCAGGGACACCAAAAAGCAAAGACATAAACACACAGAGAATGAGCCAGAGGAAGGAGATTGAGAGACTCACAGACACATAAAGAGGGAGAAAAGAGGGCAGAGAAGTGGAGAGAACAATGGAAGGGAACAGAGAAAAGCACTAAAATTAGAGTCCTGAGGGAGAGACACAAGGACATAGAAAGATGGAGATGTGGGGATGAATTGCAGAGATTCCAAAGAGAACTAGAGAGACCGAGAGGCAGAGCAAGACAGATGATAGATGGATAGATATAGATAGATGATAAATAGGTAGATGATAGATAATAGGTTATAGATACATAGATGATGATTGATTCATTCATTGATTAATCGATGATACATAGAGATGATGAAGATGAAGATAGATAATACATAGAGATAGAGAGGCAGACAAAGAGAAATCATAGAGAGAGAGAGACGATACATAGATATAGATAATAGATGATTTTTGGATAGACAATTGATAGATAAATAGATTATATATAGATATAGATGACAGGTAGAGAATTTGTAGATAGGCACCAAATAGATAAATAGATATATCGATAGATAATAGATAGAAATATGCAGAAAGTTATGAACAGGACACAAAGTGAGAAACTCAGAATTTAAAAAAAGTAACATCAAGTCAACTAGTCCAAGGAGAGTCAGAGAGAATAAAACAATCCAAAAAGGGAAAACATATCTAGAGGTGAGAAAGTGAGGTCAGAGACCTAGAGAGACAGAGAAGGTGGAAAGAGGAAATAGACATAAAGAGAGATGGTGTGGAGGGTGAGACAGAGAGAGAGAGCATTAGGCCATAGAGCAGGGGAGTGAGTTCTCAGCTCAGGTGGGAGGGGAGTTGTGACAAGGAAGAACCTCCCTGAGGAAACTGCCTCTTCTCCTTCCAGGTCTATGTGGGAAACCTTCTCTCTCAGCCCAGCCGCGCCCCATGGTTAAGGCAGGAGAGAGCGTGACCTTGTCCTGCAGCTCCCGGAGCTCCTATGACATCTACCATCTATCAAGGGAGGGGGAGGCTCATGAACTTAGGTTCCCTGCAGTGCCCAAGGTCAATGGAACCTTCCAGGCCAACTTTCCTCTGGGCCCTGCCACCCACGGAGGGACCTACAGATGCTTCGGCTCTTTCCGTGACTCTCCCTACGAGTGGTCAGACCTTAGTGACCCACTGCTTGTTTCTGTCACAGGTGAGGAAACCAGTCTGTTCCCCAAATAGTGGGACTCAGATGGACTACAATGGCCACATTCAGGGGAGCCTCAGATGGAGGGGGTGGCCATGGGGGTGTCAGCCAGAGATGCTGGACAGAAGAGACACAAAGCAAACATACAGAAAGAGGCATAGACAGACAGACAGAGCGAGGCAGACAGATCACATTAGGGTTTGGGGTGGTAACTGCAACCCTACCTGAAGCTTGCAGATAGAGCACAGGCCACATAAACCACTTCCCAGTCTTTGTACAGAAGCCCACCTGGGACACATGTAAACAGCATCAATGCTGACTCAGGAGCATGAAAGGCCGGGCTCAGATTGGAAAGACTAGAGGTAGCATTGGCCGCCCGCCATTGCCCATTTCCAGAAGCCCCCACCTCTCACCAAAGAGTGATTTCCACATGGGGGGCACAGATGCAACCATCGTTGGGGGAGCCCCAATGTCTCTTGATGGGAGGCATTTTCCACCCTAGATGTTTTTTGCTCTCTCCACACCTTGGAGACTCAGTGGGGGAGTCTTCTCTGGGGACTCGGGGAGGGCCTCCCTGGGACTCGCAGGATTTCCAAGCTAGATGACAACATGACAGGTGGAAACAGGCCCATTCCTTCGCCAGGGGCCCCAAGCTCCATCCCAGGAGATGAGAAGAGGCTCTTCTCATTGGTCAGTGGATCCCTGAGGGGACAGAGGCTCAGCACTGAAGGCTGAGAAGGATCTGCCACTTCGCTCAGTGGCCTCAAGCCAGACATCTTCCCTACAGACTTGCAGTGATTCTCCATCAGCATTTAGGGCTGTGGCCACCAACCTGGGTGTTGGTCTGTAGGAACTTTTCATTTCTGACCTTCCATAACTGAGTTCTCTTCCTAAATGTGGAATGCCTTGTACTCCATGTTACTCTCTCCCCAGAAAGAATGTGTGGCTTGTCTGCTCTCCAGCCCTGTCATGGAGATTGATAATCCTTAGGGAGCAAGAGGAGAGGGAAAGAACAAAGTATGAGACCACCTAGGTGCTACTGGTTGAGGTTCCATTTGCCAGTGAAGGGACTTCACTCAGCCGAGGGGGCAACTCAGGGAAGTCAGCCGAGGGAGGGCATTAGAGTAGAGAGAACTGAGCTCACCCAGTAAATGACCCCTTCACTAACTCATTCATCTAATATTTATTTCACACCTACCATCAGTTCTCTCTGTTTCATGGCCAGGAGTAGACAGCACGGCCAAGCTCCTGGGTTCATGATGCTCACATTGCTGTGGGGTGGGAGAGAGAGGCAGAACATGAATGAATGAATGAGAGAATGAATGAATGAGTGAATGATGGAATGAGTGAATGAATGAATGAATGAATGTATGAATTAGTGAGTGAATCCTTAGCACTTGGTGAAAGTGCCATGCACAGAATGAAATGAATGAACGTGGAACGTTGTCATTTGGAGTGTACAGGAGGGAATGTCTCACTGAGACCTCATCAGAGAGATCACATTTAAACTCCGATCTTAGAGACAAGAGGGAGTGAGCCCTGGGGAGTGTGTTGAAAGGAACTTTCATGGACTTAGGACATTGGGGATGACCCTAATGTGAGAATGAGCTTGGTGTGTTCCAAGAAGTCCATGGACCTGCCATATGGTGAGGGCTGGTCAGAATCCAGAGAGATTTCTAAATGCCCTTGTGCTTGTAAGGAAAGTGAGTCCTGTGGTTGGGAGTGGACTTATACCTTGGGTCAGGTCCAGCAATTATCTTTCTAAATCCTCTCTAATTGCCTGAACCACTTCTATCAACAACTGAGAAAAGAGGAGTGTTAAACACCCCACTGTGGCCGTGGATTTGCCTACCTGTCCATTTATTTCCGCGACTCTTCCTCCATGTATATTTGCAGGAATATTACTGGGAGTGGTTAAGTGTAAACTGATTATATATTCCTGGTAAATTTAAAATGCTATAAATTTACCTGCTTTTTTCCTACATTTTATGCTTAATGTTTTCCGCTGATTTTTCCCAAAGACTAATTTTGTCTAATTTTAATATAGTTATACCACATTTCTAACAGTGATTGCTTGGTATATTTCTACATTGTTTAATTTCAAACTCCATGAATTGTTAACATTGAGATGTGTCCTTTGTAAATTTCAAACAATTCGCCTTAGAAAGTAAGACTTTCTGACAATCTTTTGTTCATGTTTGAGCAGTTCTTCCAATCATATTTTTGTTATTATTACGTTGTGTTTTCCTGATTCCCTTTTTTTCCCACTGACTTCTGTGGTTTTCTATTTCAAACATTCTATTTTTGATCTATGTCGTTTAGGAATACATATATGGTGTACTCATCCTGAAGTTGTTACATATTTTTAAAATTGAAATTAATCATTTCAGAGATTAAACTGCAAATATAAAAACATATTTCCACTCTTCCTGTGTAAGAACAGGATTTTAGAGCATATTTAGTACATATGTTTGTATTTACTTATATGATGTTTTGTTTTGTGGTATACATAATTCTATCTTTTTCAGAAATTACACAGGGGCGTGTTTTCATACACTATCGTATGGTCCATATTCATTTTTGGCATAGCCATATTTTTAGTTCTTCCTCTGCTCTTAGTTATTGTCAGAATCTTCGACACCCCATCTGGTTTCACTTTCTTTATCTTTGAGGCACGGTCATCAGAATTTCCTTTAGGGTCAGTGAGAAAAGCTTTCTTTGCCCTTTTGTCTTTCAGTTCTGTTTCTTTCCTGCGTTGATCTTGGACAGTAACTGTACTATGTAAGGAATTGTCGGTGGCTGGCGACGGTATCTTAGCTGGGTAAAGATGCTATTCTACTGGCTTATGTTTTCCTTTTTTCTGTGGGGAAGACAATGCTTGGCTCCCTATAAATCCTTACCAGCTGATCCTTTTCCTCTGGCTAATTTTAAGGGTTGGTTGTGCTTTTATGCTGCTTTTCTGTAATGTTGAACGTGAGGTGTGTTTACTTCATTCTGCCTGGCATTCACTGGATTTCTTGAACCTGTGGATTGATGGATGTGTCTACTTCCTCCAAATAATCAACAATTGCCTCTTTAAAGATTGCTTCTGACCTGTTTTCTCGTTCTTTCTTTTTGGAACTCAAGTTAGGAGCATTCTAAAACTGTTGTCAATTTTTACCCTGTCACAAAACTGCTCTTTCTTGTTTCAGTTATTTGCTTTTTCTGTGCATTAATATTGATGGTTTCCTCTGTCATAGAGGATAAATACTCTCTTCACTGTTGTGTACACAACATTTTAACTAGTTATTCTGGTTTAAATTTAATATTGACTTTATCTACATATCACAATTGATTACTGTGTACAGACTTTCTTTTCTATTAGTATAAATTTATGAGGTACACTTGTAATTTTGTGACATGAGTATGTTGCAGAGTAGTGAAGTCAGGACTTTTACTATATCCATCACCCAAATACCGTACATTGTACTCATTAAGCAAATTCTCATCACTCACCCACGTCCCGCCACCCTCCAGCCTTCTAGCCTCCGCTGTCCGTCATTCCACACTCTACGTCCATATGTACACATTACTCCCCTCCCATGTAGAGTGAGAAGATGTGGTATTTGTCTTTCTGAGTGGTTTTATGTAAAATAATGGCGTCCAGCTCCATCTATGTTGCTGCAAAAGACATGGTTTTATTTTTATGACCAAATAGTATTTCGTTGTGTATACACGCATCCTTTTTTTAATCCAATCATTCATTCACAGACACTTAGATTGATTTCATATCTTTGCTATTGCAAACAGTGCTGCAATAAACATACAGGTGCAGGTATTTTTTGAGTAGATACCCAGCAGCGGGACCCCTAGATCGAATGGTGCTTCTATTTTTGGTTCTCTGCCAAATTTCCATACTGTCTTCCATAGAGGCTATACTAATTTACATACCGGCCAACAGTGTATAAGAGTTTCCTTTTCTCTGCATCCTTGCCAACACCTGTTATATGTTTCACTTTTTCTTTTTTTCTTTTTGAGATGGAGTCTTCCACTGTCACCCAGGCTGGAGTGCAGTGCCGCCATCTCCACGCGCTGCAACCTCCACCAACCAGGTTCAAATGATTCTCCTGCCTCAGCCTCCTGAGTAGCTGGGATTACAGAACCACACCACCATGCCCAGCTAATCTTTTGTATATTTAGTAGAGATGGGGTTTCACTATGTTGGTCAGGCTGGTCTCAAACTCCTGACCTCATGATCCACCCGCCTCAGCTTCCCAAAGTGCTGGGATTACAAGCGTGAGCCACCACTCCCCACCAGCATTTTTAGTAATAGCCATTCTGACTACTGTAAGATGATATCTCATTGTGGTTTCAATTTGCATTTCTCTGATGATTAGTGATGTTCATACGCTGTTTGGCCATTCGTATGTCTTCTTTTGAAAAATGTCTATGTATATCCCTTTGCCCACTTTTTAATGCTATTATTTGAGGGGTTATGTTTAGTTGTTTGAGTTGCCTAGAAATTCTGGATGTTAGTCCTCTGTTGGGTGCATAGTTTGCAAACATTTCCATTCATTCTGTGGGTTGTCTGTTCACCCTGCTACTATTTCCTTTGCTTGGCAGAAGCTCTTTCGTTTATTAAGTCCCATTGGTCTAGTTTTATTTTTATTGCCTGTGCTTTTGAGGTCTTAGTGATGAATTCTTTGCCCAGACCAATGCCCAGAAGAGTTTCTCTTTGGGTTTCCACCGGTGATTTTATAGTTCTGGATTTACATTTAAGCTGCTAATTACCTTAAGTTAATTTATGTGTATGATTACAGATACAGGTCCAGTTTTATTCTTCTGCATATGGCTATTTAGTTTTCCCAGCACCTTTTATTGAAAAGGAAATCTTTCTCCAGTGTATGTTTTGTTAACGTCGTCAATGATTATTCACTGTAGATATGAGGCTGTATTTCTGGGCTCTCTATTCTGGTCTATTGATCTCTGTTTCTGTGTCTATACCAGCACTGTGCTATTTAAGTTACTATAGCCTTAGAGCATAGTTTGAAGTCAGATAGCGTGATGCCTCCAGGTTTCTACATTCACCTAGAATTGCTTTCTCTATTAGGATCTTTTTTGGTTCTGTATGAATTTTAGGATTGCTTTTTCTAATTCTGTGAAAGCTGGTGTTACTATTTTCATATAAGAATTGCACTGAATCTGTAGATTGCTTTAGGCAGTATGGTCATTTTAACAATATTAATTCTTATGATCCATGAGCGTGGGATTTTTTTTCTTTTTTTTTTTTTGTATTATCTATAATTGCTTTCATTGGTGTCTTACACCTTTCCTGGTACAGCTCTTTCACCACCTTGGTTAAATGTATTCCTGAGTGTTTTAATTTTGCGTATCTATTGTAAACGGCATTGCCTTCTTGATTTGGTTCTCAGCTAGATCATTATAGGTGTAGAGAAATGCTACCGGCTTTTACATATTGATTTTGTATTCTGAAACTTTACTTAGTTCATTTATCAATCATAAGAATTTTTGGCAGGGTCTTTAGGATTTTCTAGATTTAAGATCATAGCATCAGAAATAAAAATAATTTTACTTCCTCTTTTCTAATTTGGATTTTTAATTCTTCCTGTTGCCCAATAGCTCTGACAAGGCTTCCAGTACTATGTTGATAGGAAGTGGTGGATGTCCGTGTCCTTGTCTTGTGCCAGTTCTCAGAGGAGTGCTTTTAACTTTTCCTGTTCAGTATGATGTTGACTCTAGATATGTCATCTATGGCTTTTATTATTTTGAGGTATGTTCTTTCTATGCCTAAGTTTTTGAGGGTTTTCATCAGGTAAGGATGTTGAATTTCTTTTCAGATGCTTTTCTTTATGTCTATTGAGATGATCATATGGTTTTTGTTCTGGATTCTGCTCGTTCTTCTAAGTGGATGAGACATGCCAGAAAAGCATTTAGTCAGCCATCTTGGAAACAAGCATCTCAGATGTTTTCTTTCTCTATAGCTCATTCTTTCTTACCAGTGTTTTCAATTTTGTACTTAATTTTGTAAAGAGAGTAAATGATATAATTTCCACATATGTTTCCTCTGCCAAATCAGACTCACTATGCTTCCTTTCCTTGTATGCATAACCTACCCAGCAATACACACAAACATTTATTGCTTTGGAGAATTAGTTTGGGAACATTTTTGAAATGTACAAAAAAATGTATATCTTCAAAAGAAATTTCTTTTTGTGGCAAAAGACTTCTGAAGGTGCTCATGATGATATAGGGAGAAGAGGGGTTCTGGACAGGAAGAATTTTATGAAGGTGAGATGGGGAAATAGCTCCATTTCAGAGCTTCTGGGGAGAGAGGGGCCTGGCCCACATGGAAAGGTCTCTGATCTTACCCCCACCCTCCAGCCCCTGTTCTCCAGAACTATACTGTGGAGAGTTCCATCAGGATTGTTGTGGCTGGTCTGGTCTTCCTGGCTCTTTTGGCAATGCTGGCTAAGACCTGGTGGAGACATGAGGGGCCACAGGTGGAAATGGAAGAAACATGACTGAAGCTGGCTGGAGTGAATGGCGCGACATTCTGTCTGTGGGAGATTGGCCAGATGGGTTTCAAGTGTGTTGTATCAGCTGTGACTTTTAGTAATGTTCTTGCTACCACAATATCCACTCGTCCATCCCGAATAATTGTGATGAAATATTGTCCTTGGGATAATATTCATTTGCTAAAGACAGGGATGATACCTCAAGGTGCCACTATATACATCGAGGGGATCCACAAAAGTCCATTCAGTAAAATGTAGTTGGCATCTTAGGGTAGGTTGATTCCACCTCTAAAAAAGTAGGTACAACATCAGGTTGATTTTTCCGAAGAAAAGTGGTGATTGGCCATCTTTAGTCTCAATGTAAACGGTAATACTGATGAGTGTGGAAAAGGCAGGGAAGAGGATTGACAATAAGTGACACTCATTGTTTTCATCTGAGCTTTGAGACTGAAAGAGGAACACAGGAGTGAGATGTATGGGAACAAACCCCTTCTTTTTCCAGCTAAACAGAGTGGAAGTTGGACACTGAGTTTTGGCGTACAGCAAAATCCTAAGTCCATTGTTGGGTTGAACACGGCCATGTTGTACATCCTGGTTTCACAGCAGACACTGGAGGAAAACAGCCTGTATTCATAAGAGGCTGTCCCTCGGGTCACTGCCCAGAATATCCGGAGTTGGTGCTCACAGGGTTGGGAACTCTCCTGGACCAGACAGGCTCTGGATATGGGGGGGTACCAAGCTCCCCGGGGCCATGCCTCCACAGCTCTCTTCTCACCTCATTCTTGACCATTTCCCAAACCTCTGACCTCACCTTCATTCATCCATGGTGAACACGCTAAAGCTGGCCTTCAAAGCTTGAGACAGAGGAAAATTGGGCTTCATCTCTGGGAACTAAATTGGGGAGTGGAGACTCAGTTCTGGCCTGACAGGAGGGAGAAGACCCTGGATCCCAGTGTGGATGGGAAGAAGTATGTGTTTCTCTTTTGTGCTTGGACCCTGTGTCCAAGCATGTCTGAGATGTGATGAAGATGAATCTTCCTTTCCTTGTCTATTTTCTCATGCCAGAGAATTGGAATCTTATATTCTATTAACTCTTTCTGTTCTGTTCATCCAGATTCTATGAAGGAGAAAGGAAAAGATGTGATACTGTAATTTTGCTCCATTTGTCTAAAATGAGTAGGCTGCAACTCCTCTTGAAGTGATACCTTTTCTAGCTCTTGTTGGAGGTGTCTCAGGACTCATTACTTCGGGGAACCTGCAACTGTGTCAGTCTGGGGAAACTGCAAATATTCTTGTCTTACATTTGTCTCCAGCCAATTGTGATGGACTCCAGTGACCTGCAATTGCTGTTATTGCAGGTAAAATGTACCTGAGTCAGGCCACAGTTCTCCTGGACTATGAGCCCCTGGCCATGTTCCTGAGGCAATTCTGTTCATCTAAATATAATAATAATAACACACTAAAAATGGCAAGCCATTGTTAATTCCTGAAGTCTCATTTGAAAATTACTAAATGTCTGTTATTTTTTGGTGTTTACATTATATGTAGACAGATAAACTACACACACACACACACACACACATGCACACAGAAGAATGGATTGGTTCATGTAGAAAAGTAAATAATTCAAGATGAAAGGATGAAATGTCATGGCACCTACTATTCTATTTTAGATAAAGGGTCTATGAAAAGATTGATTTCTTTTTATGTTTTATTTGTTGACATTTGAACACAAACTATGTAAGTGAGGGAGTCGATTTGAAAGGGAGAAGAGCAAGTTCAAACACATTCAGGTGAGGTCATGCTTTACATGTTTTAATTGAAATGATCCATCTTGGGAGTAGATCAATAACTGAGATGGTGCCAGGAATGTTAAAAAGCTTTTGTCAGTCCTAAATATTGACAAATAAAATTTAATTAAAGTCTTAGAAGAAAACACAAAGGAAAACTTCACAACATCGGATTTGGCAGTGATTCTTTAGATGTGACAACAACGGCACAGGCTACTACAGAAAAAATAAACAAGTTAGACTTTATGAAAATTTTGAAATATTGTGACTCAAAAGACAACATCAGTTACTTCACATGGCAAGGAAAAAGAACTTTTAAGACGATATTATCAAAGTAAAAAGACAACCCACAGAATGGGAGAAAATGTTTTCAAACCACACCACCTGTAAGGGATTAACATCCAGAATATACAGACAACTCCTAAAACTCAATCACAATAAACTCAATTCAAAAATGGGCAAAGTACTGAAACAGACATTTCTCCAAAGAACATACGCATGACAAGATATTCAGCATCACGAATCATTAGGGAAATACTAACTAAAACTACACCAGATGCCATTTCATACCCCTTAGGATGGGTATCATCAAAACAACAACAACAACAACAACAACAAAGTTTCTATACATTAACAACAAACTATCCAAAAAAGTTTACAAGAAAATAAGCCCATTTGCAATAACTACAGAAAACAAAACATGCAGGAATAAATTCACCCAAGGAGTAGAAAGATCTGTATGCAAAAGCTATAAAACATTGATGAAAAAACTCAAGAAATAAACAAATAAATCGAAAGATATTCCATGTTCACGGATCAGAAGGATTAATGTTGTTAAAATGTCCATTCTATCCAAAGTGATTCAATGCAACCATTATCAAAAATCCAATGACATTTTTTTTTACAGAAATAGAAAAAACAGTCCTAAAATTCATGTGGAACCACAAAAGATCTCAAATAACCAAAGCCATCTAGAGGGAAAGGAACAAAGTTGGAAGCATCACATTACCTAAACACAAACTACATTACAAAGTTACAGTAATTAAAACAACACAGTACTTGCATAAAAACAGACACATAGACCAATGGAAGTGATTCATAGCCCAGGAAAAAAAATGCACGCATTTAGGGTCAAACAATTTTTGGGATGTATCAAGAACACACAATGGAGAAGGAACAGTCTCTTTAATAAATGGGATTGGGAGACATGCAGAAGAATGGAAGTGGACATTTGCCTCACAAAACATACAAAGTCAACTCAAGATAGATTAATGACTTAAATGTAAGATGAAAGACTATCATCCCAGCAATTTGGGAGGCCAAGGCGGGCAGATCACCTAAGGTCAGGATTCCAAGACCAGCATGGCCAACATGGTGAAATCCCGCCTCTACTAAAAATACAAAAACAGCTGGGTGTGGTTGTGGGTGCCTGTAATCTCAGCTACTCGGGAGGTTGAGACAGGAGAATCACTTGAACCCAGGAGGTAGAGGTTGCAGTGAGCCGAGATCGCATCACTGCACTCCAGCCGGGGCAACAGAGTGAGACTCCATCTTAAAAAAAAAAAAAACTACTAAAAGAAATCAAGGGAAAACTCCACTGGCTTGGGCAAAACCATTTTGGATATTAACCCAAAGGCCCAGGCAACAAAAGCAAAAGTAGACAAATAACATTATATCAAATTGAAAGTTTCTGCAAAGAAAAAAAAAAACTCAACAAGTGGAAAGACAACCTATGGAATGGGAGAATATATTTGCACCCATACATCTAATAAGGAATTAATATCCAAAATATGTAAGAAACTCAAACAACTCAATGGTAAGAAATCAAATAACCCAACTTAAAAAAATGGGCAAAGTATCTGAATAAACATTTCTAAGAATAAGACAAATCACCAAAAGGTATATGAAAAAATGATTAGCATTACTAAACATCAGCTAAATAAAAATTAAAACTAGAATGAGATATCACCTCACACCTCTTAGAATGACCATTAACAGTCTGGGCATGGTGGCTCATGCCTGTAATTCAGGCACTTTGGGAGGCCGAGGCAGGGAGATTACCTGAGGTCAGCAGTTCGAAACCAGCCTGGCCAATATGGTGAAATCCCATCCCTACTAAAAATACAAAAATTAGCAGAGTTTGGTGGCGCACACTTGTAGTCCCAGCTACTCTGGAGACTGAGGCAGGGGAATCGCTTGAACCCAGGAGGCAGAGGTTGCAGTACACCGAGATTGTGCCACTGCACTCCAGCCTGGGTGACAGAGCAAGACTGAGTCTCAAAAAAAAAAAAAAAAAGACCATTATCAAAAACATAAAAAATAACAAGGGTTAACGAGGATGTGGAGAAAAGGGAACATTTGTATGCAGTTGATGGGAATGTAAATTAGCACAACCATTATGGAAAACAGTCTGGAAGTTCCTGAAAAAATTAAACATAGAATTCCCATATGTGTCTGCAATCCAACTACTGCGCATGTATCCAAAGGAAGTGGAATCAGTATGTTGAAGAGATATCTGCATTCCCATGTTTACAGCCGCATTATTCATAACAGCCAAGATGTGGAATCACCCTTACTGCCCATCTATGGGTGCATGGACAAAGAAAACGTGGTATACGATAGGAACGTAATGAAGTACTATACAACCTTTACAACAAAGAAGGAAGTCCTCTCATTTGTGACAATGTGAAAAAACTTAGAGGACATTATGTTAAGGGAAACAATCCAGGCACAGAAAGACAAATGCCACATGATCTCATGTGTGGAGTGTAAGAAGTGGAACCTAGAGGAACAGTAAAATGGTCGTCGAAAGAACCTGGGAAGGAGAGAGATTGAAGAGATGTTGGTCAAAGGATGCAAAATTTCAGTTAGAAGAAATCGGTTCAAGAGATCTATTGTATGTCTTGGTGACTCCATTTAATAGCAACATATGGTGTATTGAACATTACTAAGAGATTAGATTTTACATGTTCTCACCACACACACAAAACATACAAGTATGTGAAAAAATAAATAGATAAAGAGGTTGTTTCATCCATTCCACAATGTGTACCTATATGAAAACATCATCATGGACACCACAAATACCCTTTTCCTCATTAATTAAATTTGTTTTGGCTTTTTTTTTGAGACGCAGTTTCACTGTTGTTGCCCAAGCTGAGGTGCAATGGCGTGATCTCCGCTCACTGCAACCTCTGCCTCCCAGGTTCAAGCGGTTCTCCTGACTCAGCCTCCCAAGCAGCTGGGACTACAGTTGCGTACCACCCCGTCCGGCTATATTTGTGTTTCTAGTAGAGACAGGGTTTCGCCATGTTGGCCAGGCTGGTCTCGAACTCCAGACCTCAGGTGATCCACCCGCTTCGCCCTCCCAAAGTGCTAGATTTCAGGCTGAGACACCACACCCAGCCTGTACATTGACTTTCTGCCCTTAAACTGTGCTGAAGTTTGTTTCTCAGATGTAGGAGCCTTTGGGCAGAGACTATGGGGTTTCTAGGTATAGAAATTATCTCATCTTCAAACAGAGGTAATTTGACTACCTCTCTCTGCTACTCTCTTCTTACTTGGATGCCTTATAATTCTTTCTCTTTCCTGATGGCTCTGTCTAGGACTTCAAGTACTATGTTGAATAGGATGGTGAGAGTGGGCATTCTTGTCTTGTTTCACTTATGAAGGGAACTTCTTCCAGCTTTTACTCATTCAGTATGATGTTGGTTGTGGGTTTGTCATAGGCGGCTCTTATTATATTGAGTTATGTTTCTTCAATGCTTAGCTTGTTGAGGGCTTTTAACATGAAGAAATGCTTAGTAAAAAGTATGTTCTACATGTGTGTTGAGAAGATCATGTGGTTTTTGTTTTTAGTTTTGTTTAGGTGATGAATCACATGTATTGATTGTGTATGTTCAACCAACCTTGCACCCTAAGAATAAAGTTGACTTGATCATGGTGGATTCACTTTTTGATATGCTGCGGGATTCAGTTCTTAGTATTTTTTGTGGATTTTTGCATCTATGCTCATCAGGAATATTGGCATGTAGTTTTCTTTTGTTTAATATTCTTTTCTGTCTTTAGTATCAGGGTGATGCCAGCCTTATAGAATGAGTAAAGGCCACCCTGGGCAAACAGTGAGACCCATCCCTTTTTAAAAATTATGAGTTTTACAAATTTAAAATGCATAGTGAAAAAGTTCTTACAAACTCCAGAAAGGTAGGTGTAAATAAGAGACATTTGTAAGAATGACAGCACATTAAATGTGTAGATTTCAACCTTCAGTTATTGCAATATTCCAGTATCAAGTTGGAGGATGTTATCAGTCTGATATTTTTTCCTCAAATGAGAGAGAGAAAGAAAGACACACAAACAACACAGGGAGAAAAAAAGCACACGTTACAGAGAGACAAAAAGGGAGACAGGGAACTGTGAATTTGGACTCTTGTGTCATAAGACAAATTCTAGATAACACGACCAGACCTTCAATTGACATATTGTGTTTTTGCTAATAAGGTGGAATTCTATGATGTGAAATAACTATATAGTCTTTTCTACTGGGATTTAAATCATTTTATCTGTTTCTGGCTTAACAGGAAAAATACAACCATGGAAAATTATGATGATTTATTTAATACGATTGCTCTATAGTGTTAATAAAACCTATTAGGTATTTTGCATATTACATATCAAGGAGAGTTTGAATCTCAGGTAGAAACAAAAAAAAATACATCAAAAGTTCCTCATGTGAGTGCAGAATTCAATCGTCCCGTGCAGGGGTAAGTGAGTCTGAGATGTGTTTTGAGCCTGGCCATTGCGCATGATGTGAACTGACAAGTCTAGTCTGCAGTTTTCAGAAACCCTCATTCCTCCCTTGACTGACTCACCACTTGAACCTCATATGACGTAGAAGAAGCCTACCTATGTCCCCTTCACATGTTGTGGTCAATGTGTCAACTGCACGATCCGGGCCCCTCACCACATCCTCTGCACCGGTCAGTCGAGCCGAGTCACTGCGTCCTGGCAGCAGAAGCTGCACCATGTCCATGTCACCCACGGTCATCATCCTGGCATGTCTTGGTGAGTCCTGGAAGGGAAGGAGCACCAGGGTTACACTATGGGCCTGCAGATTGGGTGTCTCCCCAGCAGAGAGCCATGTTCTGAAGCAAGTGAGTGGTGAGGATGAGTTAATTTTCAGTCCAGCGTGGCGCCCAGTGGCTCAGGAGGAAAGGGTAGGTTGGTGCCGAGATGAATAGTTCATCATGATCTTTCTTTGCAGGGTTCTTCTTGGACCAGAGTGTGTGGGCACACGTGGGTGAGTCCTTCCCCAAATGATGGGTTGCCATCTTCACCCCAATACAAGTGAATTTTCCGGAAATGGGAGGGAGGCAGCACAGAGGGTGGGCTGATGGGCTGACCATGGGAAGGCCTGGGGGGAGTCTCTCATGAACTAGTAAGAGGAGATCCTGGGAGTCTCTCATGAACTAGTAAGAGGAGATCCTGGGAGTCTCTCATGAACTAGTAAGAGGAGATCCTGGGAGTCTCTCATGAACTAGTAAGAGGAGATCCTGGTATGCTCAGCCCTCTGTTTTGTCTTAGCCCTCCCCAGCCTTTCTTCCCCATGGCTGAGTTGAGCTCTGTGTGGCCCAGGCGGGATACTGAGGTGCTCAAAGCTGGGGTGTGTGGGGGGATGTGGTGTCACCGACAGAGGAGGGAAGGGTAGCAGTGTTAGGAACAGCAGGTCCTCTGAGCACAAGAGGGTAACTCACACCCTCCAGCGTTTCCATGACGGTAGGGGCTGCAGTGTGGCTGCTGTCATTCTGCCAGAAGAGGTGGGGGAACCACAGCCACGACCCTGCCATTCCAAATCCTCTGATGGAGCTCAGTTGTTTATTGTGGTTCAGGCATTAGCTAATATTCCATTCACAAAGGTCATACCCTCCACCCCATGTCTACTTTGTGTTGTTTGGTGTAACTAATCTTGCAGTATTAAAATCTAGTAAGAGTCCCTTACTCAGCACCTGCTCAGTTCTCAACTGACACTTTTGTTGTAGGGAGACGCCACGTCTATGCGGGATGGGTCCTTCCTGTAGCCCCAGGCACCCAGGTGTGGTAGGAGCCTTAGAAAGAAGAAATGGGGAGAATCTTCTGAGCACAGGGAGGGAGGGGCAGCTCAACATACTCCTCTCTGAGGCGGCATCTCCTTCTCCCCAAGGTGGTCAGGACAAGCCCTTCTGCTCTGCCTGGCCCAGCGCTGTGGTGCCTCAAGGAGGACACGTGACTCTTCGGTGTCACTATCGTCGTGGGTTTAACATCTTCACGCTGTACAAGAAAGATGGGGTCCCTGTCCCTGAGCTCTACAACAGAATATTCTGGAACAGTTTCCTCATTAGCCCTGTGACCCCAGCACACGCAGGGACCTACAGATGTCGAGGTTTTCACCCGCACTCCCCCACTGAGTGGTCGGCACCCAGCAACCCCCTGGTGATCATGGTCACAGGTCAGAGGGCTCCTGTCTGGGCTTCTCCTTGTCCCACCTCCTGAGTCCCAGAGCTTCTGGTGGGGGTGTCCACCAGAGTCCGATCATCCAGGCCCCAACTATATTTGGGGTAAAGGGGGATTGAATACAGGGGAATGGGTGCTGTGTTGGAAAGAATAACTGTCCCCATCAATGGCCACATTGTAATCCTTGGAGCCTGTGACTATGTTATAGGGCAGGGGACTGAAGGGGAAGATGGAGCTCAGGTTGTTGATGAGTTGACCTTGAGATGGGGAGATGGCCTGGACTCTCCCACTGGGCTCAGTGTAATCACAAGGGTCCATATGAGTGGAGAAGGAAGAGGAGAATGGGGATTAGAGCAGCATCGTGGGATACTCCACCAGCCACTGTGGGCTTTGAAGGTGGAGGAAGACCACGAGCCACGAAGGGGCTGGAGAAATCAATGGAACTGATTCTCCCGAGTCTCCAGAGGGAATGCAGCCCTGCAGATGCCTTGATTGTAGCCCAGGAAGAACAGGGTCTGATTTCTGTCTCCAGAAGTGGAAGGGGTCAGTGTGTTCTCTCCTGTCGCCATGTTTGTGATAATTTTCTCCAGCAACAACAGGAAACCAACACAGGAACCCAGGTGAAGGACAAGTTAAAAAACCAAACAAGAAGGTTGGCTACCCTGAGATCAGCAAGGGTGCACTGCTGATGCCACCACCAGGCTGGAACCACATAGGGAGGGATCGACAGGAAGAGTTGGGGGTGGAGGGTGAGAGAGAGAGAGAGAGCACTAGGCCATAGAGCAGGGCAGTGAGTTCTCAGCTCAGGTGGGAGGGGAGCTGTGACAAGGAAGAACCTCCCTGAGGAAACTGCCTCTTCTCCTTCCAGGTCTATATGAGAAACCTTCGCTTACAGCCCGGCCGGGCCCCACGGTTCGCACAGGAGAGAACGTGACCTTGTCCTGCAGCTCCCAGAGCTCCTTTGACATCTACCATCTATCCAGGGAGGGGGAAGCCCATGAACTTAGGCTCCCTGCAGTGCCCAGCATCAATGGAACATTCCAGGCCGACTTCCCTCTGGGTCCTGCCACCCACGGAGAGACCTACAGATGCTTCGGCTCTTTCCATGGATCTCCCTACGAGTGGTCAGACGCGAGTGACCCACTGCCTGTTTCTGTCACAGGTGAGGAAAGCCAATGTCTGTCCCATGTCCTATGGTCCTAGAGCCTTAGCTGAGGAGCTTCCTGCTGATGATGGAGAGAAGCATGGACAGATGTGGAGAGAAGATGCAGCATGGTGTGAGGGCGGGATCAGGGCACAGGATGGCAGACAGGGCACCTCCAAACCCTCCTGCATGGCCTGCATGGAAGCTTGCAGTAAGGGCTCCGGGTACCCAGGCAGATGGAGAAAGTGGTCAGGACAGACCCAGAGGAGGGAGACTGGGCTCAGTTTGGGGAGATCAGAGGTTCCCTCAGCCCCTCAACCTTACCCATTTCCCAGAAGCCCACCCTGGCCTCTCACCTACACAGAGATGTCATCACCAGCAACCCCTACACTTTTTCTTTTCCTTTGAAAAAATGCTGATTGAGGTTAAATATACCTATATAATTTATCAACTTTACCATTTTTAAGTGTAAAATCTAGGGATCATAAATACCTTTATATGCTGTGTGCGGTGGCTCACGCCTGTAATCTCAGCATTTTGAGACGCCAAGGCAGGTGGATCATTTAAAATCAGGGGCTGGAGACCAGCCTGGCCAACATGGGGGAACCAATCTTTACTAAAAAGACAAAAAAAATAAAATTAGCCAGGCATGGTGCCAGGCGCCTATAATCCCAGCAACTTGGGAGGCTGAGGCGGGAGAGTGGCTTAAACCCAGGAGGAGGAGGTTGCAGTGAGCTGAGATCATGCCACTGCACTGCAGCCTGGTGACACAGAGAGACTCTGTCTCTAAATAAATAAATAAATAAATACTTTTATATTCTTCTTTTGTTACCCTCCACCCCTTCCTTCCTAACCTCTGGTATCCACCATTCTACTCTCTACCTTCATGAGGTCCACCTTTTACATCCTGCATGTGAGTAAGAAATGGCAATCCTTGTAATGACCTCTAGTCCATCCATGTGGTTGCAAATGACAGGACGTTACTCTTTCTATGGATGAGTTGTCTCCATTGTGTGTATGTACTACATTCTCTCTATCCATTCATCCACTGATGGGCAGGTAGGTTGACTCCACATCTTGGCTACTGTGAACAGTGCTGGAACAGTCATGGGAGTGCAGATGTCACTTCAATACACTGAAGTCCTTTTCTTTGCATTTACACCCACTAGTGGAATTGCTAGATCCTCTGGATGTTCTCTTTTTAGGTTTTGTTTTATGCTTTTTGTTTTTTTGACATAGCGTTTCACTCTTGTTGCCCAAGCTGGAGTGCAATGGCACCACCTGGGCTCACTGCAACCTCTACCTCCAGGATTCAAGTGATTCTCCAGCCTCAGCCTCCCGAGTAGTTGGGATTACTGGTGCCCGCCACCAAGCCTGGCTGATTTTTGTATTTTTAGTAGAGACGGGGTTTCACCATGTTAGCCAGGCTGGTCTCGAACTCTTGACCTCCAGTGATCTGCCCACTTCAGCCTCCCAAGGTGCTGGGATTACAAGCGTGAGCCACAGTGCCTAATCTCTTTTCAGTTTTTAAGGAACTTCCATATTCTTCTCCTCTGTAATGGCTGTATTAATTTACATTCCTATCAACAGTGTATCAGGGTTCTCCTTTCTCCACCACCTTGCCAACATTTGTTTTGTCTGTCTCTGAGATAAAACCCATTGTAATGGGGTGAGATGATAGCTCATTGTGACTTCATTTGCATTTCTCTGATGATTAGTGATACTGAGCACTTTTTCATATATGCAATGTATATATGTTCATTTGTATGTTTTGTTCATTGAGAAATGTCTGTTCAGGTCTTTTACTAATTTTATAATTAAATTATTAGTTTTATTGAGGTGTTTGAGCTTCTTTTATATTCTAGTTATTAATCCCATCTCAGATGCATAGTTTGCAAATATTTGCTCCCATTCTGTGGGTTTTCTCTTCTTCACTTCATTGGTTGCTTCCTTTGCGGTGCAGAAGCTGCTTGATTTGATATAATCCCAATGGTCTATTTTTTTTGTTGTTGTTGTGATTACTTGTGTTTTTGAGGTTTTAAACAAAATGTCTTCCCTCAGACAAATGTCCTGGAGCATTTCTCCAGTGTTTCCTTTTAGACATTTAATGGATTCAGGTCTTAAGTCATTAATCCATTTTCATCTGATTTTTGTGTATGGTGAGAGGTAGAGGTGCAGTTTCATCCCTCTGCATGTAGATATCCAGTTTTCCCTGCACCATTTATTGAAATGACTGTCCTTTCCAGATTGTAGATTCTTCGAACCTTTGTCAAAGTCCATTGGATGTAAATGGGTGGATTACATCCGTGTTCTTCATTCTGCTTCATTGTTTTATGTGCTTTTCTTTATGCCAATGTCATGTTGTTTTGCTTACTACAGCTCTGTAACATATTTTTAAGTCAGGTAGTGTGATGCTCCTGTTTTCTCCTTATACCTTGAAGTCTCAAGATAGTTGGTGTCACCTACAATGATTATGGAGAATGGGATGCCAGGACTCCCAGGGCCCAACATTAGATAATAGAAGGTTGGCCATGAACCAACCTCAAAGATTTCCATTGAGTAGAAAAGACAGGCATCCTCATTGCCACACCTATCTCCTGTCCCATGTTCTAGGAAACCCTTCTAGTAGTTGGCCTTCACCCACTGAACCAAGCTTCAAAACTGGTAAGTGAAGGACCCCTCTTATCTCTGCTTTTGGAAACCTGGGGAGGTAGAAGCCTTGGATTCAAGCGTTGGCTCAGCACCTGCCAGCTCTGTGATTGTGGGCCTGTCTTCCATTGTCTCTGAACCCCAGACACTCCAACAGCGAAAGGGATCTGGGCCCAGCACAGGGCTCAGTGAAATCTCTTAATCTCTAATTTTCTGCTGCTGAGACCTCAGGGTAGAAGGATGAGTGCAAATCAGACATTCTTCTCAGGAAAAATGCTGTGTTTGTTCTGCCTGCATTCCTAACTGGGAGGACAAATGCCTGGGGGCTTGAGAAGGGGAAGGAAGGGGAACATTTTTGAGGGTGGTGTGTTTGTAGAGAAGTTCTACTTGCCAAGGAATGAGCTCCTGTCTGTCATGATCCAACCCTGGTTGACTTAGTGGAACAAGAGCTTTGCGGTAAGAGAGAACGTAGTTCATCCGTGCACATGACACTTCCACTTACTCGTTCAGCCACTGCCCCATGCTCAGACTGTGCAGTGTGGAACTTTTTCCTATGTTGCCATAACAAATTTCCACAAGCTTCGTGGATGGAAACCACATTTTTAAAAAATATCTCATGGTGCTGTAGCTCAGAAGTATGAAATGCATCATCTCACTGGGCTAAAATCAAGGTGACAGCAAGGCTGCCTTCCCTCTGAATGTTCCAGGCAAGAATCTGCTTCCTCACTTTTCCCAGCTCCTAGAGGCTCCCACATTCCTTGGCTCCTGGTCCCCGTCTTCCTCCCTCAAAGTCCACAAAGGCTGGTCACGCCTCTCACACGGCATCACTCAGACCCTTCTTCCTTGTCCACACCTCTTTCTCTGAATGCTGCTCTGCCTTCTTCCTCATCTTTTAAGGACTTTGGCATTCTATTGGAAACACCAAGATAATCCATCATAATTTCCCTAAAATCATCTAGGATACCCTCCTTTTAAGGTTAGCTGATTAGCAACCGTAATTCCATCTGCAATCTGCATTCCTTTTTTCCATGTAAAATAACATATTCACAAGATATGGCGACTAGGACAGGAACATTTTGGGGTGGGGCGGCATTCTTATCCTTTCCACAAATGGTAAACAAGGTGCATTTGGCCTCTGCTCTTGGACACTGATATTGCAAAGGATTAAATGGGAGGGCAGAAAATGAATACACCAGTGGACCAATAAATGAATGATCCATTGGGAAGCATCTGTGCATGAGAATGATTGATTGATTGGTTGTTTTTATGAGACGGTGTCTCCCTCTGTGCCCCAGGCTGGAGTGCAGTGGCGGGATCTCGGCTCACCGCAACCTCCACCTCCCAGGTTAAAGCGATTCTCTACACTCAGCTTCCCGAGAGGCTGGGATTACACCCATGTCCCACCACGCCTGGCTAATTTTTTTTTGGTATTTTTTTTTAGTACAGACAAGGTTTTACCATGTTGCCCAGGCTATCTCAAACTCCCAACCTTAAGGGATCCGCCCGTCTCAGCCTCCCAAAGTGCTGAGATTAGAGGCGTGAGCCAAGGCGCCGAGCCGTATTTTAAAAGAAATAATAGATAATGCTGAGTGTATAATTTCGGGTGACAGAGAAGTTCTCACTGATCAAATAATACTTGTGACCTTAATGAAAAAAATAGATCAACCCCTGGAAGATTGGCGGAAGGATTTTCCACACAGCTGTCAGCCGTGAAGGCACAAAGGTGAAAACAATGTTATGTGGAAGGAAGAGGCTCTGCCTGAAATGCTGGGAATGACATGGGGAGAATGACAAGACGACTGTGGAGAGACAGAGAGCACTCTGGGTACACAGGAAACTAAGGAGGAACAAGGAGCGTGTGTTTGATACTCACAGCCATTGGACTTACCTCGGGGCTAACTGGGAATCCCTACATGATGAATAGTGACTGACATGAAAATAAGGGAGGCCCAGGTGCATAACTGGAATCTAGGAGACTGTGGAAAAGGCAATTCCCGCCCCCCTGGTGAAATGTGGTGCTGATTTAGACACTAAATGAATGAAAGATGGACACAAGATGTGTTTGTGAGGTAGAGTAATTTGCAGGGAGGGCTTGCCTGGTTTGATTTTTCCTAATTGTTTAATCTTCACTTCATTGATTTCTTTCTGAGATTTATTTTTCCTACATGTAAATCAATACTTGGCAGAGGAGTGAGAGATACATGAGGGGTGGTGCAAAGGAAGAGACCTATTATAATATAACACACAAGGTTCTGAACGGTGGCTCACACCTGTAACCCAACATTTTGGGAGGCTGAGGAGGCTGGATCAAGTGAGATCAGGAGTTCGAGATCAGCCTGGACAACATGGTGAAACCCCATCTCTACTAAATATACAAAAACTAGCTGGGGGTGGTGGCGCGTGCCTGTAATACCAGCTATTCAGGAAGTTGAAGAAGGAGAATGGCTTCAACCAGGGAGGGAGAGGTTACAGTGAGCCAAGATCGCGTCATTGCACTGCACCCTAGGTGACAGAGTGAGACTCCATGGCAAAAAATAAAAATAAAGAATACATAAATATAATATAACATACACGAATGACAAAGGCACACCAATTCCAATCATCATTTTTCTATTTCTCTATAATGACTTCTTTGATCCTTTATCCTATCCATAAGAAAATCAGGCGAAAACATCTTCCTTATTTGGCTTTCTGTGAGCATGAGATCATATGGAAAATGTGAAACCCACCAGCACAGGTCCTGGAATAGAGAACGTGATCTGTTCATGGCACAAAACTTGCCCCTTCACCCAAATCCCCCACCTCACCCCTACTTCCAATCACATTAATGATACAGATAGATCATGGGGAGGTAAAAACTAATATTCTTTGGAGTTCAGATCGTAGACTCAGAGACCAGTGCCAGCACTATCTCCTGGTCACCTTTTGGAGTAATTCACAGAAAGACAGGCTGTATTGAAGCAACAGATGATGGAGGGGGTGGTCTTTCCCCCAGACTCTCGGGTGGAACAGCAGCCTAATATCTGACTCCCAAGATGACAAAAGTAGCATGTTGCCCACGAGCTTCATCATTATTTCCTGGCTGTTTGATATAAGACAGCTCAACCTCACTTATGTTGATTTCAATGTCACTGTTTTTTCCTTTTCTTGGAGAATGTAATTTGTTTGAGTCAAGAGGGTTGTGGATGTAGAAACTGTAAAGCACATTCACTGTGTATCAATCCCAGTCCAGTCTTCCCAGAGAAGACTCTAAACACCTCCCATACTGCACCTGGGCCTGTGCCAATTTCTATCACTCACCATCACTCCAGGTAGACAGAACACACAGGGAATACATTACATAGGCAGGTTCATTACTTATAGATAAGCAGCGAGTGACAACAGAAACCTTCCTTTCAGGGTGAGCCAGTCCCTCAAGGCTCAGAAAAACTGCTCAGGACACATGGAGTCACTTCATGTGCACTGTAGCTGGGGGAAGCCAGAAAGCAGCCCAGCCTGGGTTTTGTACCCTGGAGCCACAGGGAACACTCAGCTAAAGCACTGCATGATGTTCTCCTCCAGGAAGAACAGGAAGACAGCCCAGGCTGTTCTGAGACGTTCCTCCTGATCTCAGGATGTTGCTGTCTTAGCCTATTTTTGTTGCTATAAAAGAACACTTGAGCCTGGGTATCTTCTAAAGAAAAGAGATGTGTTTGGCTCACTGATCGGCACGCTGTACTAGAAGCAGGACACTACCATCTATTTCTGGCTGCGGCCTCAGGCTGCTCCCACACTGACAGAAGAGAAGGGGGTCCTGCGTGTGCAGAGACCACAGAGATCACATGGCAAGAGAGGGAGAAAGGGGGTGTGATGGAGCTTCCAAGCTCTTTTTAAGAATCAACTCTCCAGGGTACTAATAGAGGGAGAACTTGCTAAACCCGTCCTCTGGGGACAGCATTAATCTATTCATGATGGATCCACCCCCATGACCAAAACACCCCTCCCAATAGGCACAACCTCCCACACTGGGGATTAAATTTCAAAGTGGGGTTTGGAGGGGTCAAACATTGAAACAATAGCAGTTGTATCATCAGCACATTCTATTGTTATTATGAAAACTATAACGGAGAAAGCAGGAGAAAGCTGGGTCTCCCGCCTCGTGGGTGCTTGTCCTAAAGAGGTGTTTTATGTGGTTGCCTGGCAACCAAGAAATGAGAGACAATCCACAAAGAGGAACTGCTATGGTTAGCTTCTTATTGGATTCTCATCTTCCTCCAGGTATCGCCAGACACCTGCATGCTGTGATTAGGTACTCAGTGGCCATCATCCTCTTCACCATCCTTCCCTTCTTTCTCCTTCATCGCTGGTGCTCCAAAAAAAAAAGTAAGCCTCACGAAGCAGAGGCCAGAGAACTCAGGGCCCTGTGCGGAAGCAGGATGGGAGCACGCAGGTGTGTGTTCCTCACTGGCAGGAAAGTCTCTGGCCCAAGGCAGGAGCCAGAGGCAGAGCTTTCTAGAGAGAGCACCAGACACCCTGCCCCTGCCTTCAGCTCACAGACCATTGCCTGATTGTGAACTGTATCCTCACGTCCCCTGCAGCCACTCACATCCAGGAGAAGATTCCATGACAGGCAGAAAGTGGGAGATAGAATCAATGGGATGGGAACTGACAGCTATTCATGGAATGGGGTCTTGCACTCAGAGAGATGGAATGTCTGAGTCTGGCTGTTGGCAGCTGAGGGACCTCAGGCACCTATGGCCTCCCCCTGTGTGTTGGTATCTGTTCATGAAATGAGGACCCAGAAGTGCCCTCCCAGCTGTTTTGATTGCTTCCGTCTCCTACAGATGCTGCTGTAATGAACCAAGAGCCTGCGGGACACAGAACAGTGAACAGGGAGGTAGGTCCTCCTAGCCCAGCCTCATGGATACAGTCTTATTCCCTAATAGTCCTGAAAAATGTGAACACCCTCCCTCACTCAGGATTTCCCTCTCTCCAGGACTCTGATGAACAAGACCCTCAGGAGGTGACATACGCACAGTTGGATCACTGCATTTTCACACAGAGAAAAATCACTGGCCCTTCTCAGAGGAGCAAGAGACCCTCAACAGATACCAGCGTGTGTATAGAACTTCCAAATGCTGAGCCCAGAGCGTTGTCTCCTGCCCATGAGCACCACAGTCAGGCCTTGATGGGATCTTCTAGGGAGACAACAGCCCTGTCTCAAACCCAGCTTGCCAGCTCTAATGTACCAGCAGCTGGAATCTGAAGGCGTGAGTCTCCATCTTAGAGCATCACTCTTCCTCACACCACAAATCTGGTGCCTGTCTCTTGCTTACCAATGTCTAAGGTCCCCACTGCCTGCTGCAGAGAAAACACACTCCTTTGCTTAGCCCACAATTCTCTATTTCACTTGACCCCTGCCCACCTCTCCAACCTAACTGGCTTACTTCCTAGTCTACTTGAGGCTGCAATCACACTGAGGAACTCACAATTCCAAACATACAAGAGGCTCTCTCTTAAGACGGCACTTAGACACGTGCTGTTCCACCTTCCCTCGTGCTGTTCCACCTTTCCTCAGACTATTTTTCAGCCTTCTGGCATCAGCAAACCTTATAAAATTTTTTTGATTTCAGTGTAGTTCTCTCCTCTTCAAATAAACATGTCTGCCTTCATTCTTTAGGTGACTCTTTTTTTGGCTGAAAGTTTCCAGTGTTATCATTACCATGTCCAAATAACTCCAACTGTTCTCCACTGGGTTCTCACCCCTGGACTCTGAGCTTCTGGAAGCAGGGTGGAGCCTGATTTGTCTCTGAGACTCCAATTTCCATCCAAAGATGCAGCACATAAGAGGTTCCAAGGATCGTGAATCACATGAACAAGTGATATTCTTACTCTCTGCAGACCTGGAAAGCTGGCAGAGTCATTCCATGATGAAACATTTGTAGAGTCATAGGCCTTGTCAGTCTCATCTCCACGGGGACACATATCAACACATCATCTTTCATACTATAAATATACAGTCGGTCCTCTGTATCTGTGGGATTTACAGGTGTTTATTGAACCAAATATAAATCAAAAATATTCAGAGAAAAAATCCACAAAGTTTCAAAAAGCAAAACTATGTTGAATGGACACAAATGAAGCTGTGTGTAGGCTGTATCAGGAATTATAAATAATCAAGGGATGATTTCATGTACACAGGAGGATGTGCATGGGTTATTTGCAAATGCTGTGCCATTTCATGTAAGAGGCTTGAGCATCTGCAGATTGTGCTATCTGAGTGGAGATCCTGAAACCAATCACCCACGAATAGTGAGGGATGACTGTATATAATTTTTATTTCTCAATTTTAAATATAAAACATAAAAAAATTACAATAACAAGATAAAATAAACAAGTGTTTTATAGTGTGAGAATACTTTTAGATATATTTTTCTCCATGTGTAACCCTTGGGCCCATGTTATTTATTGAGAAGACATTCTATTCCACCTTAAACCACATGGCAGCCTTTGTCAACTATAAAGGGACTGTGTGTACACGGATGTATTTTAGACACTGTTTTCTGCTCAGTGGCTCTCTCTCTGTCCACTCTCTTGAGAATGCTGCATTTTATGCAGCCTTATACAACCCCTAAAATTTGGTAGCTGGAGTCCTCTAGTTATTTATTATAGGCTATTTGCTATGCTTTTTTTATTTTTCTTGAGGCAGAGTCTCGCTCTGTTGCCCAGGCTGGAGTGCAGTGGCACGATCTCGGCTCACTGCAACTTCCGCCTCCCAGGTTCAAGGGATTCCGTGCCTCAGCCTCTTGAATAGCTGGCATTACAAGTGCCTGCTACCAGGCATGGCTAATTTTTGTATTTTTAGCAGAGACATGGTTTCACTATATTGGCCAGGCTGGTCTCAAACTCCTGACCTCGGTTGATCACTCACTTCGGCTTCCAAAGTGCTGGGGAAATTGATTTTCTATAGCATTATGTTACTGGATATTTCTGTAAAATTTAAAATGAGGGAGGCAGAGAGACAGAGAGAGAGCAAACCATGAGTTGGAACTCTGAAATCTTGGGACATGAGACAAATTCTAGATAAATCTACAAAAATCCAGAATTTACATGTTGTGATTTTTGCTGATAAAGTACAATTCTAAGATTGTAAATAATTGCATAATCCTTCCCTGGGAGTTTAAATCATTTGAACTGGTTCTGCTGTAATACTAGAAATACAATCATGAAAAATTCTAATGGTTTATTAGTCACAATTGCTCTGAAAACCTTAATAATACCTATTAGATATTTTGCATATTACACAGGAAGAAGAGTTTGAATCTCAGATAAAAGCAATAAAAATACATGAAAAGTCTTTCATGTTAGCACAGATTTTAGGCATCTCGTGTTCGGGAGGTTGGATCTAAGACGTGTTTTGAGTTGGTCATAGTGAAGGACGCGAGGTGTCAATTCTAGTGAGAGCAATTTCCAGGAAGCCATGTTCCGCTCTTGAGCGAGCACCCACTGGGCCTCATGCAAGGTAGAAAGAGCCTGCGTACGTCACCCTCCCATGATGTGGTCAACATGTAAACTGCATGGGCAGGGCGCCAAATAACATCCTGTGCGCTGCTGAGCTGAGCTGGGGCGCGGCCGCCTGTCTGCACCGGCAGCACCATGTTGCTCATGGTCGTCAGCATGGCGTGTGTTGGTGAGTCCTGGAAGGGAATCGAGGGAGGGAGTGCGGGGATGGAGATCTGGACCTGGAGGTAAAGATATGGGCCTAGAGGTGGAGTTATGGGCCTGGAGGTGGAGTTATGGGCCTGAAGTGGAGATCTGGGCCTGGAGTGGAGATCTGGGCCTGGAGTGGAGATAGGGGCCTGGGGTGGAGATATGTGCCTGGAGTGGAGATCTGGGCCTGGAGTGGAGATATGGGCCTGGGGTGGAGATATGTGCCTGGGGTGGAGATATGGGCCTGGAGGGGAGATATGGATGGGCCTGGAGGGGAGATGTGGGCCTAGAGGTGGAGTGATGGGCCTAGAAGTGGAGCGATGGGCCTGGAGTGGAGATATGGGCCTGGAGGTGGAGTTATGGGCCTGCAGTAGAGATATGGGCCTGAAGTGGAGATATGGGCCTGGAGTGGAGATATGGGCCTAGAGGTGGAGTTATGGGCCCGGAGGTGGAGTTAAGGGCATGAAGTGGAGATCTGGGCCTGGAGTGGAGATATGATCCTGGAGTGGAGATATGGGCCTGGGGTGGAGATACGGGCCTGGAGCAGACATACAAGCCTGGAAAGGAGATATGGGCCTGGAGAGGAGATAGAAGCCTGGAGTGGAAATATGGGCCTGGAGTGGAGATATGAGCCTGGAGTGGATATATGAGCCTGGAGTTGAGATAGGAGCCTGGAGTGGAGATATGGGCCTGGAGTGGACTTATCAGCCTGGAGAGGAGATATGGGTCTGGAGTGGAGATACGGACCTGGAGTGGAGATCTGGGCCTGTTGTGTAGATCTAGGCCTGGAGGTAGAGATCTGGGCCTGGAGGCTGAGTCTCTGCACAGCCGAGATCCTTGTTCCTGGGGGCAGGTAGGCAGCGAGGGTGAGTTTACCTTCAGCCCAGCAAGGGCCTGGCTGCCAAGACGCACAGCCCAGTGGGGGCAGCAGGGTGCCCTGGTTTGCCTGCAGATGGATGGTCCATCATGATCTTTCTTTCTAGGGTTCTTCTTGGTCCAGAGGGCCGGTCCACACGTGGGTGAGTCCTTCCCCAAACCTTAGGGTGTCATCTCCCCACATAAGAGGATTTTCCTGAAATGGGAGGGAAGTCCTGTCGGGGAGTCTCTCATAAACTAGGAAGAGGGGACCCTCGGATGCTCGGCCCACATTTCTGACCTTGCCCTCCCCGGCCTTTCTTTCCCTTTCCTGAGTCAAGCTCTGTGAAGACTGGGGTGAGACTAGGGTGCTCCAAGACGGGTGTGCAGGGAGGAAGTGGTGTCAGCAGCAGAGAAAGAGAGGGAAGCAGTGCTAGGAACAGCAGGTCCTCTGAGGACAAAGGTGTAACTCACACCCTCCAGCGTTTCCGTGATGGTAGGGGCTGCAGTGTGGCTGTGGTCTTTCTACCAGAAAAGGTGAGGAAACCACAGCCATGGCCCTGACATTCCAAATCCTCTGATGGGGGCTCAGTTCATCAATTGGCTGATATTCCATTCACATAGGACTTGCCCTCCATGCCGTGTCTACTTTGTGTTGTTTTATATGAGTAATTTTGCAGTATTAAAATCTAGTAAGAGTTGCTTCTCCAGCACTTGCTCAAAGTTCTCAGCTGACACTTGTTGTAGGGAGACGCCATGTCTATGCAGGATGGGTCCTTCCTGTAGCCCTGGGCACCCAGGTGTGGTAGGAGCCTTAGAAAGTGGAAATGGGGAGAATCTTCTGGGCACTGGGAGTGAGGGGCGGCTCCACATCCTCCTCTCTAAGGCAGTGCCTCCTTCTCCCCCAGGTGGTCAGGACAAGCCCTTCCTGTCTGCCTGGCCCAGCGCTGTGGTGCCTCGAGGAGGACACGTGACTCTTCGGTGTCACTATCGTCATAGGTTTAACAATTTCATGCTATACAAAGAAGACAGAATCCACGTTCCCATCTTCCATGGCAGATTATTCCAGGAGAGCTTCAACATGAGCCCTGTGACCACAGCACATGCAGGGAACTACACATGTCGGGGTTCACACCCACACTCCCCCACTGGGTGGTCGGCACCCAGCAACCCCGTGGTGATCATGGTCACAGGTCAGAGGCTTTCCGTCTGGGCTTCTCACTGTCCCACCTCCTGAATCCCAGAGCTTCTGGTGGGGGTGTCCGTCAGGGTCCCATCACCCAGGCCCTGACTGTATTTGGGGTCAAGGGAGATTGAATACAGGGGAAATGGGTGCTGTGGTGGGAAGAATCACTGTCCCCAATGATGGCTACATTGTAATCCCTGGAGCCTGTGACTATTTATGTTACAGGGCAGGGGACTGAAGGGGAAGGTGGAGCTCAGGTTGTTGATGAGTTGACCTTGAGATGGGGAGACAGCCTGGACTGTCCCACTGGGCTCAGTGTAATCACAAGGGTCCACATGAGAGGTGGAGGAAGAGGGGAGTGGGGATTAGAGCAGTGTAGTGGGAGGGAGACGCTATCAGCCACTGCGGGCTTTGAAGGTGGAGGAAGACCACTAGTCACAGAATGCAGGTGGCCTCTAAGGGCTGGAGAAGTCAAGAGAACTGATTCGCTGATTCTCCAGAGGGAACGCAGCCCTGTAGACACCTTGATTTCAGCACAGGGAGAACTGGATCCAATTTCTGTCTCCAGAAGTGGAAGGGGTCAGTGTGTTCTCTCCCGCTGCCATGTTTGTGGTAATTTTCTGCAGCAGCAACAGGAAACCAACACAGGAACCCAGGTCAAGGACAAGTTAGGAAACCAAACAAGGATAGCCAGATGTGGTGGTGGGCGCGAGTAATCCAACGACTGGGGAGGCTGAGGCAAGAGAATCACTTGAACTGGGGATTTGTTCAAAAGAGATTGATTCAGGCTGCTAAGAGCCTGGACATGCAGCCTGTCCTCTTCCACCCCCACATAGACAGCAGGAAAGAGATTAGTGGGAAACAGATACAACAGCCCAAGAGATGAGGCTGTCTTCACAGTGGCAAGGGAGTCAGGGGCTACTGGAGACAGAGGGACAGAGAAGAGGGAGGAAGACAGATGGAGGCACCTGCACCAGGGGATATGGGCACAGAAAAGACACGGAGATGCAGAGAGGGAGGAGAGAGACAGACACGGGGAGGGGAACCCTCACTCATTCCAGGTGCCATGGATGGGATGATAAAGAGAGATGCCTTCTAAACTCACAACTTCTCTTTCTAGGAAACCACAGAAAACCTTCCCTCCTGGCCCACCCAGGTCCCCTGGTGAAATCAGGAGAGAGAGTCATCCTGCAATGTTGGTCAGATATCATGTTTGAGCACTTCTTTCTGCACAAAGAGGGGATCTCTAAGGACCCCTCAAGCCTCGTTGGACAGATCCATGATGGGGTCTCCAAGGCCAATTTCTCCATCGGTCCCATGATGCTTGCCCTTGCAGGGACCTACAGATGCTACGGTTCTGTTACTCACACCCCCTATCAGTTGTCAGCTCCCAGTGATCCCCTGGACATCGTGGTCACAGGTGAGAGTGTCTAGACATTGTTCTCATTGTCACTGGGACACAGAGTGAATGATCCAGGACTTGGAACCCCCAGGTGGTCATGAGGAAGATAAGTGTGGGATTCTTATGGAAAGAGAGTGACTTGGTGAGGTCTGTACCAACAGAGACAGAGAAACAGGAGACATAAGTACAGAACAGGTGTCATAACAGAGGACAGACACAGGGGCCATACAGGGAGGTAGAAAAGAGAGAAAGAGGTAAAGGAGACACTCAGACAGACAGACATGTCCCAGAGAGAGGTGTCCTTCCATGCTGACTTTGCTCAGAGACCTGGCACAGGTTAGAAGTTTCATTTCTGTTTTACCTCCACAAAGTGTTCCTACCAGAAGAACCCAAGGACACCCATATTTCTGACCTGAGTTGGGCCCTGTGGCCTCAGGCCTTGTGCCACCTACAGATGCCGTGTTTATTCTGACACCTCTGCCTTCCATGCAATGGAGAGTAATCATCCCAGGATATCATGGCCCCTGAACACCAACCCCTGTATGCTGTGTGAACTTGGGGTCCCCAGACTGGATTCTGAGGCTCATATTCCAAATAATCCCACATATGATAGGATCGCTGAGAGACACAGAGAAAAATCAGGGACACCAAAAAACAAAGACATAAACACACACAAAATGAGCCAGAAGAAGGAGATTAAGAGATTCACAGACACATAAAAAGAAAGAAAAGAGGGCAGAATGGAGAGAATGATGGAAAGGAGGAGAGAAAAGCCCCAAAATCAGAACCCTGAGGGAGGGACACAAAGACAGAGAAAGATAAATATGTGGGGATGGATTGCAGAGATTCCAAATAGAACTAGAGAGACTGAGAGGCAGAGAAAGACAAGGAGACGGAGAGAGAGAGATGATAGATGGATAGATAGACGTAGATAGATGATAAATAGGTAGATGATAGATAATGGATTGGTTATAGATACATAGATGATGACTGATAGATGATACATAGAGATGACGATGATGATGATAGACACATAGATATATACATAGATGATACATAAATAGAGACAGAGAGGCAGACAGAGAGGTAATAGAGAGAGAGATAGATGATACATATATAGATAATAGATGATTGATGGATAGATAGACAGATAGACAATTGATAGAGAGATAGATAAGTGATACATAAATATAGATGATAGATAATTTGTAGATAGACACAAAATAGATAAATAGATAGAAATGTGCAGAAAGTTATGAACAAGACAGAAAGTGAGAGACTCAAAATTAAAGAAAAAGGAAGATCAAGTCAACCAATCCAAGGAGGGTCAGAGAGAATAAAACAATCCAAAAAGGGAAAACATACCTCAGGGTGGGGAAGTGAGGTCATAGACCTAGAGAGACAGAAAAGGTAGAAGGAGGAAACAGATATGAAGAGAGATGGGGTGGAGGGTGAGAGAGAGAGAGAGAGCATTAGGTCATAGAGCAGGGGAGTGAGTTCTCAGCTCAGGTATGAGGGGAGCTATGACAAGGAAGAACCTCCCTGAGGAAACTGCCTCTTCTCCTTCCAGGTCCATATGAGAAACCTTCTCTCTCAGCCCAGCCGGGCCCCAAGGTTCAGGCAGGAGAGAGCGTGACCTTGTCCTGTAGCTCCCGGAGCTCCTATGACATGTACCATCTATCCAGGGAGGGGGGAGCCCATGAACGTAGGCTCCCTGCAGTGCGCAAGGTCAACAGAACATTCCAGGCAGATTTCCCTCTGGGCCCTGCCACCCACGGAGGGACCTACAGATGCTTCGGCTCTTTCCGTCACTCTCCCTACGAGTGGTCAGACCCGAGTGACCCACTGCTTGTTTCTGTCACAGGTGAGAAAAGCCCATATCTCTCTCATGTCCTATGATCCTAAATCCTTAGCTAAGGAGCTTCCTGCTGATGATGGAGAAAAGCATGGACAGATGCAGAGAGAAGACACAGCAGGTGTGAGGGCGGAGTCAGGGCGCAGGATGGCAGACAGGGCACCTCCAAACCCTCCTTCATGGCCTGCATGGAGGCCTCCGATCAGGGCTCCAGGCACCCAGGCAGATGGAGAAAGCGGTCAGGACAGACCCAGAGAAGGGGAGACTGGGCTTAGTTTGGGGAGATCAGAGGTTCCCTCAGCCCCTCAATCTTATCCATTTCCCAGAAGCCCATCATGGCCTCTCACCCACACAGAGAGATATCATCACCAGCAACCCCTACACCCTTTTCTTTTCATTTTCAAAAATATTTATTGAGGTTAAATGTAACTATATAATTTACCACCTTTACCATTTTTAAAAGTAAAATCTAGTGGTCATAAATACCTTTATATGCTGGGTGTGGTGGTTCACGGTTGTAATCTCGGCGCTTTGAGAGGCCAAGGAAGGTGGATCATTTAAGATCAGGAACTCGAGATCACCCTGGCCAACATGTGGGAAATTCATCTTTACTAAACAGACAAGAAAAATTAGCCGAGCATGCTGGCATGCACCTGTAGTCCTAGCTACTTGGGAGGCTGAGGCAGGAGAAGCACTTAAACCCAGGAGGCAGAGGTTGCACTGAGCCGAGATCATGCCACTGCACTGCAGCCTGGGAGACAGAGAGAGACTCTGTTTCTAAATAAATAAATACATCTATATTCTTTTTTTTGTTACCCTCCACCCTTCCCTTCCTGGCCTCTGGTGTCCACCATTGTATTCTCCACCTTCATGAGATCCACCTTTTATCTCCTGCATGTGGGTGAGAAATGGGAATCTTTGTAATGACCTCCAGTTCCATCCATGTGGCTGCAAATGACAGGATGTTATTGTTTCTATGGATGAGTAGTCTCCACTGTGTGTGTGTACCACAGTTCTCTATCCATTCACCCACTGATGGGCAGGTAGGTTGACTCCACATCTTGGCTACTGTGAACAGTGCTGGAACAGTCATATGAGTGCAGATATCACTTCAATACACTGATGTCCTTTCCTTTGGATATAAACCCAGTAGTGAAATTGCTGGACACTATGAAAGTTCTCTTTTTTTTTTTTTCTTTTTTGAGAAAGAGTTTCCCTCCTTAGTCCAAGCTGGAGTCTAAGTGGTGAGATCTTGGCTCATTGCAACCTGTGCCTCCTAGGTTCAAATGATTGTCCTGACTCAGCCTCCCTAGTAGCTGTGATTACAGGTGCACGCCACCATGCCTGGCTAATTTTTGTATTTTTTTAGCACAGACGGGATATCCCAATTTTGGGCAGGCTGCTCTCAAACTCCTGACCTCAAGTGAGGTGCCTGCCTCGGTTTCCCAAAGTGCTGAAGTTACAGGCATAAGCCACTATGCCCAGCCTCCTTTTAGTTTTTTAAAGAATTTCCATACTTTTCTCCATAATAGTTGTACTAATTTACATTCCTACCAACAGGGTACCAGGGTTCTCCTTTCTCTACCATCTTGCCAGCATTTGTTTTGCCTGTCTTGCAGTAAAAGCCATTTTACTTTACTTTATTTTATTTATTTATTTATGTTGAGATGGAGTTTCACTCATAGTCTCCCAGGCTGGAGTGCAAGGGTGTGATCTCAGCTCACTGCAACCTCCGCCTCCCGCGTTCAACTGATTCTCCTGCCTCAGCCTCCAAAGTAGCTGGGATTACAGGCATGTGCCACCACGCCTAGCTAATTTTTGTATGTTTAGTAGAGAGGGAGTTTCTCCATGATGGTCAGGCTGGTCTCCCGACCTCAGGTGATCCGCCCACCTCCGCCTCCTGAAGTGCCGGAATTACAGGCGTGAGCCACCGGCCTAAAAGGCATTTTAATGGGATGAGATGAAAACTCATCGCGATTGTAATTTACATTTCTCTGATGATGAGTGATGCCGAGTACTTTTTCATATACGTGATCGCCATTTCTATGTTTTGTTTGTGGAGAAATGTCTCCTCATGTCTTTTGCTCGTTTTTTAATTAAATTGTTTTATTGAGTTGTTTGAGCTTCTTATATTTCCAGTTATTAATCCCGTCTCAGATGAATAGTTTGCAAATATTTGCTCCTATTTTGTCGGTTGTCTCTTCACTTTCTTGGTTTATCTTTTGTGGTGCAGAAGTTGCTTGGTTTGATGTAATCCTAATGGTCTATTTTTTGCTTTGATTACTTGTGTTTTGAAGGTTTTAAACAAAATGTCTTTCGTCAGACAAATGTCTTCCCCATTATTTTCTTCTACATGTTTCATAGGTTCAGGCCTTAGACTCATGTTTTTAATCCATTTTCATTTGATTTTTGTGTATGGTGACAGGTATAGATGCAGTTTTATTCCTCTGCATGTAGATATCCAGTTTTCCCCACACCATTTATTGAAAAGACTGTCCTTTCCTGATTGTAAGTTCTCGGCACCTTTGTCAAAGTCCATTAAATGGGCTGGGTATGGTGGCTCACACCTGCAATTCCAGCACTTTGGGAGGCCGAGGCGGGTGGATCACCTGAAGCCAGGAGTTCAAGATCAGGCTGGCCAACAGAGTGAAACCTCGTCTCTACTAAAAATACAAAAATTAGCTGAGCATGGTGACCAGTGCCTGTAATACCACTACTCGGGTGTTTGAGGCAAGAGAATTGCTTGAATCCAGGAAGTGGAGGTTGCATTGAGCTGAGATTGCACCTCTGCACTCCAGCCTGCATGACAGAGCAAGATTCTAACACACACACACACAAAAAAAGCCATTGGATGTAAATGCATGGATTATATCTGTGTTCTCCATTCTGTTTCATTTTTTATGTGCCTTTCTTTATGCCAATGTCATGCTGTTTTGCTTACTACAGCTCTGTAACATATTTCTAAGTCAGGTAGTGTGATGCTCCTGTTTTCTCTTTATACCTTCAAGTCTCAAGACAGTGGGCATCGCACACAAAAATTATGGAGAAGAGGATCCCAAGACTCCCAGGGTCCAACATTAGATAACAGAGTGTTGGCCATGAACCAACCTCAAAGATTTCCATTGAGTAGAGGACAAGCACCCTCATTTCCTCACATCTCTCCTGTCCCATGTTCTAGGAAACCCTTCAAGTAGTTGGCCTTCACCCACAGAACCAAGCTCCAAATCTGGTGAGTAAAGGACCCCTCTTATCTCTGCTTTTGGAAACCTGGGGAGGTGGAAGCCTTGGATGCAAGTGTTGGCTCAAACCTCCCAGCTCTGTGAATGAGGGCCTGTCTTCCACCATCTCTGAACTCCAGACACTCCAACAGTGAAAGGGATCTAGGGCCACCAAAGGGCTCAGCGAAGTCTCTTAACCTTTAATGTCCTGCAGGTGAGACCTCCTACAAGCTAGAAGAATGATTGCCAATCTGACATCCTTCTCAGGAAACATGCAGTGTTTTTTCTTCCTGCATTCCTAACTGGAGGATAAATTCCTGGGGACTTGAGAGAGGGAAGGGAAGGGAACATCTGATGAGGGCGAGGTGTTTTAGAGAAGTTCCACTTGCCAAGGAATGAATTACTGTTGGTCATGAAGCAACCCTGGCTGACTCAGCAGAGCAAGAGCCTTGCCGTAACAGAGAACAGAGCTCATGCACGCACACTTCGACTCACTGACTCATTCAGCCACGGCCCCATGCTCAGGCTGTGCAGTTGGAATCCTTTCCTATTGTTGCCATAACAAATTTCCACAAGATTCGTGGGTGAAAACAAAACGGTTTTTTAATTATCTTACAGTGCTGTAGCTCAAAGTAGGAAGTGCATCTTACTGGGCTAAAATCAAGGTGACAGCAAGGCTGCCTTCCCTCTGAGGATTCCAGGCAAGAATCTGCTTCTCACTTGTCCCAGCTTCTAAAGGCTCCCAGTTCCTTGGCTCCTGGTCCCCTTCCTCCTTCCTCAAAGCCCACAAAGACTGGTCACATCTCACATGGCATCACTCAGACCCTTCTTCCTTACCACACCTCTTTCTCTGAATGCTGCTCTCCCTTCTTCCTTATCTTTTGAAAACTTGGGGATTCTATTGGGTTCACCAAGATGAAAATCCATCATAATCTCCCGGAAATCATTCAGGATACCCTTGTTTTAAGTTCAGCTGACTAGCAACCGTAATTCCATCTGCAATCTTCATTCCTTCTTTCCATGTAAAATAAGATATTCACAAGCTATGGAGGCTAGGACAGGGACATTTTGGGGTGGGACAGCATTCTCCTGCCTTCCACGAACGGTGAACAAGATGCATTTGGCCTCTGCTCTTGGGACACTGATATTGCAGATGGTTAAATGGGAGGACAGAAAATGAATGCACAAGTGGACCAATAAATGAATGATCCATTGGGAAGCATCTGTGCATGAAATCTATTTGTTTGTTCGTTCATTTATTTATTGAGACAGAGTCTCCCTCTGTCTTCCAGGCTACAGTGCAGTGTCACGATCTTGGCTCACTGCAACCTGCGTCTCCTGGATCCAAGTGATTCTCCTGCCTCACCCTCTCGAGTAGCTGGGATTACAGGCAACTGCCACCATGCCCGGCTAATTCTTTTTGTATATTTTTTGTAGAGAGGATGTTTCACCATGTTGGCCAAGCTTGTCTGAAACTCCCAACCTCAAGTGATCCGACCATCTCAGCAACCCAAAGTACTGGGATTACAGGCGTGAGCCACTTTGCCCAGCCAGAATTCAAAATAAATAATAGATAATGCTGAGTGTATAATTTTGGGTGACAGAGAAGGTCTCACTAATCAGATATTTGTGACATTAATGAAAAACACGGATTGAACCCCTGAAAGATTGGCGGAAGGATTTTCCACACACAGCTGTCAGCCGTGAAGGCAGAAAGCTGAAAACAATCTGATGTGGAAGGAAGAGGCTCTGCCTGAAATGCTGGGAATGAGGTGGGGAGAATGACAAGACGACTGTGGAGAGACGGAGAGCACACTGGGTACACAGGAAACTAAGGAGCAACAAGGAGTGTGTGTTTGACACTCACAGCCATTGGATTCACCTCGGGGTAGCCAGGAATCCCTACATGATTAATAGTGACTGACATGAAAATAAGGGAGGCCCAGGTGCGTAACTGGAATCTAGGAGACAGTGGAAAAGGCAATTGCCGCCCCACTGGTGAAATGTGGTGCTGATTTAGACCCTAAGTGGATGAAGCAGATGGATATAAGCTATGTTTGGGAGGTAGAATCATTTGCAGGGAGGGCTTGCTGGGTTTGAGTTTCCTAGTTGTTTAATCCTTGCTAAATTAATTTCTTTCTGAGATTTATTCCTCCTACACATAAATCAATACCTGCCAAAGGAGTGACAGATATATGAGGGGTGGTGGAAATGAAGGGACCTATTATAGCATAGTATACAAGTCTGTGAACGGTGGCTCACTCCTGTAACCCAGCACTGCAGGAGGCTAAGGCCAGTGGATTCCAAGAAGTCAGGAGTTCGAGACCAGCCTGGCCAACATGGAGAAACCCTATCTCTACATGGTGAAACCCTATCTCTCCTAAAAATACAAAAATTAGCCGAGCATGGTGGTGCATCCCTGTAATCCCAGCTCCTGCTCTGGAGGATGAAGCAGGAGAATGACTTCAACCCAGGAGGTGGAGGTTGCAGTGAGTGGAGATCGCATCACTGCACTCCAGCCTGGGTGACACAAGGAGACTCCATCTCAAAAAATAAAAATAAGAAATGCATAAATATAATAAAACACACACGAATGACAAAGGCACCTGAATTCCCATCATCATTTTTCTATTTCTCTATAATTACTTCTTTGATCCTTTATCTTATCCATTAGGCAATCAGCCTAAAACCTCTTCCGTATTTGGCTTTCTGTGAGCATGAGATCATATAGAAAATGTGAAAGCCCGCTGAATCCTCCAGCACAAATCCTGGAATAGAGAAAGTGCTCTGGTCATCACAAAAAAAACTTGCCCCCTCACCCAAATCCCCCATCTCACCCCTACTTCCAATCACCTGTGGAGATACAGATAGATCATGGGGAGGTAAATGCTAATACTCCTTGGAGTGAGTCCAGATCTTGGAATCAGAGATCAGTGCCAGCACTAGCTCCTGCTCCCCTTTCCTACTAATTCACAGGAGGACAGGTGGTATTGAAGCAATAGATAGTCGAGGGGGTGGTCCTTCCCCCAGCCTCTGAGGTAGAACAGCAGCCTAACATGTGTCTCCCGAGATCACAAAGAGTAGCACATTTCACACGGGCTTCAACACTATTTTCTGGCTGTTTGACATAAGAGAATTCTACTTCGCTTTTTTTATATTGATTTCACTTTTGTTTCCTTTTCTTGGAGAATGCAAGTTGTTTAACTCAAGAATGCCGTGGATGTAGAAATCCTAAAGCACATTCGCTGTGTATCAATCCCAGTCCAGTCTTCCCAGAGAAGACTCTAAACACCTCCTGGACTGCACCTGGGCCTATGCCAATTCCTATCACTCACCGTCACTCCAGGGAGACAGAACACACAGAGAATACGTTACATAGGCAGGTTCATTACTAACAGATAAGCAGCGAGTGACAACAGAAGCCTACATTTCAATGTGAGCCAGTTCCCCAAGGCTCAGAAAAGCTGCTCGAGACATGTGGAGTCACCCCATTTGCAGTGTAGCTGGGGGAAGCCAGAAAGCAGCCCAGCCTGGGTTTTGTACCCTGGAGCCACAGGAAGCACTCAGCTAAAGCACTGCATGACGTCCTCCTCCAGGAAGAACAGGAAGACAGCCCAGGCTGTTCTGGGACGATCCTCCTGATCTCAGGACTTTGCTGTCTTAGTCCATTTTTGTTGCTCTAAAGGAACACTTGAGCCTGGGTAACTTCTAAAGAAGAGATTGGTTTGCCTCACCATTCTGCAGGCTGTACTGGAAGCATGGCACCAGCATCTATTTCTTATGATGGCCTCAGGCCGCTCCCACTCTGGCAGAAGGGAAGGAGGGTCTGTCTGTGCAGAGACCACAGAGATCACACGGCAAGAGAGGGAGCAAGGGGGAGGGGGAGCAATGGAGCTTCCAAGCTCTTTTTAACAACCAGCTCTCCAGGAACTAATAGAGAGGGAACTTGCTAACCCCGTCTCCTTGGGACAGCATTGATCTGTTCATGATGGATCCACCTCCATGACCCAAACACCTCCCAAGAGGCCCAACCTCCCACACTGGGGGTTAAATTTCAATGTGAGGTTTGAAGGGGTCAAACATCTCAACTAAAGTAGTTGTATCCTCAGCACGTTCCATGGTTACTATGAGAGCTATAACTGAGAAAGCAGGAGGAAGCTAGATCTCCCGCCATCTGGGTGCTTGTCCGAAAGAGATGCTGTAAGTGGTTACCTGTCAATCAAGAAATGCAAGACAATTCATATAGAGAAACTGCTATGATTAGCTTCTTACTGGTGTCTCCTCTTCTTCCAGGTAACCCCAGACACCTGCACATTCTGATTGGGACCTCAGTGGTCATCATCCTCTTCATCCTCCTCCTCTTCTTTCTCCTTCATCTCTGGTGCTCCAACAAAAAAAGTAAGTCTCACGGGGCACAGGCCAGAGAGCTCAGGGCCATGTGGGGAAGCAGGATGGGAGCACACAGCTGTGTGTTCCTCACTGGCAGGATGGTCCCTGGCCCAAGACAGGAGCCACAGAGGCAGGACTTTCTAGAGAGAGCACCAGACTCCCTGCCCCTGCCTTCAGCTCACAGACCGTTGCCTGATTCTGAACTGTATCCTCATGTCCCCTGCAGCCACTCACATCCAGGAGAAGGTTCCATGAGAGGCAGAAAGTGGGAGACAGAATCAATGGGATGGGAACTCAGAGCTATTCATGGGATGGGTCCTTGAGCTCAGAGAGATAGAATGTCTGAGTCTGCTGTTGGCAACTGAGGGACCTCAGGCACCTATGGCCTCCCCCTGTTTGTTGGTATCTGCTTATGAAATGAGGACCCAGAAGTGCCCTCCGAGCTCTTTTGTTGACTTCCGTCTCCTACAGATGCTGCTGTAATGGACCAAGAGCCTGCAGGGAACAGAACAGCCAACAGCGAGGTAGGTGCTCCTCGGCCCAGCCTCGTGGCTAGTGTTATTCCCAAACAGTCCTGGAAAACGTGAGCACCCTCCCTCACTCAGCATTTCCCTCCCTCACTCAGCATTTCCCTCTCTCCAGGACTCTGATGAACAAGACCCTGAGGAGGTGACATACGCACAGTTGGATCACTGCGTTTTCACACAGAGAAAAATCACTCGCCCTTCTCAGAGGCCCAAGACACCCCCTACAGATACCATCTTGTACACGGAACTTCCAAATGCTAAGCCCAGATCCAAAGTTGTCTCCTGCCCATGAGCACCACAGTCAGGCCTTGAGGACGTCTTCTAGGGAGACAACAGCCCTGTCTCAAAACCGAGTTGCCAGCTCCCATGTACCAGCAGCTGGAATCTGAAGGCGTGAGTCTTCATCTTAGGGCATCGCTCCTCCTCACGCCACAAATCTGGTGCCTCTCTCTTGCTTACAAATGTCTAGGTCCCCACTGCCTGCTGGAAAGAAAACACACTCCTTTGCTTAGCCCACAGTTCTCCATTTCACTTGACCCCTGCCCACCTCTCCAACCTAACTGGCTTACTTCCTAGTCTACTTGAGGCTGCAATCACACTGAGGAACTCACAATTCCAAACATACAAGAGGCTCCCTCTTGACGTGGCACTTACCCACGTGCTGTTCCACCTTCCCTCATGCTGTTTCACCTTTCTTCGGACTATTTTCCAGCCTTCTGTCAGCAGTGAAACTTATAAAATTTTTTGTGATTTCAATGTAGCTGTCTCCTCTTCAAATAAACATGTCTGCCCTCATTGCTTCAGGTAATGTGACACTGTATTCGCTGAAAGAAACCGCTGTTATCATTACCATGTCCACATAACCCCATCTGTTCTCCGCTGGGTTCTCACCCCTGGATTCTGAGCTTCTGGAAGCAGGGTGGAGCCTCATTTGTCTCTGGGACTCCAATTTCCATCCAAAGATGCAGCACATAGGAGGTTCCAAGGATCGTGAATCACATGAACAAGTGATATTCTTACTCTCTGCAACCTGGAAAGCTGGCAGAGTCATTCCACGATGAAACATTTGTAGAGTCATAAGCCTTGCTAGTCTCATCTCCACGGGGACACATATCAACACATCATATTTCATACTATAAATATACAGTCGCTCCTCCATATCTGTGGGGTTTACAGGTGTTTATTGAACCAAGTGTAAATCAAAAATATTCAGAGAAAATGTCCACAAAGTTTCAAAATGCAAAACTATGTTGAATGGACACAAATGAGGCAGTGTGTAGGCTGTATCAGGAATTATAAGTAATCAAGAGATGATTTCATGTATACAGGAGGATGTGCATGGGTTATATCCAAATGCTGTGTCATTTTATGTAAGAGGCTTGAGCATCTGCAGATTTTGGTACCTGAGTGGAGATCCTGAAACCAATCACCCACGAATAGTAAAGGATGACCGTATATGACTTTTATTTCTCAATTTTAAATATAAATCATAAAAAATGTACAATAACTAGATAAAAAGTAAGAAGTGTTTTTATAGTGTGAGAATAAGTTTAGATTTATTTTTTCCTACGTGTAACCCTTTGGTTTAATATTATTTATTAAGAAGACATTCTATGCCACCTTAAACCACACGGCAGCCTTTGTCAACTCTAAAGGGACTGTGTGTACACGGATGTATTTTAGACACTGTTTCTGCTAAGGGGCTCTCTGTGTCCACACTCTTGAGGATGCTGCACTTCATGTAGCCTTATAAAACCCTTTAAATTTAGTAGCCAGAGCCCTCTAATTTGTTATTATAGGCTACTTGCTATTTTTTTTTCTTGAGGCGGAGTCTTGCTCTGTCGCCCAGGCGGGACTGTAGTGGAGCAATCTCAGCTCACTGCAACTTCCGCCTCCCAGGTTCAGGCGATTCTCGTGCCTCAGCCTCTTGAGTAGCTGGCGTTACAGGTGCCTGCCACCAGGCACGGCTAATTTTTGGATTTTTAGCAGAGACACGGTTTCACTATGTTGGCCAGGCTGCTCTCAATCTCCTCATCTCAGTTGATCCGCCCACCTCGGCTTCCCGACCTGCTGGGGGAAACTTGATTTTCTATAGCATTATGTTACTGGATATTTCTGTAAAATTTAAAATGAGGGAGGCAGAGAGACAGAGAGAGAGCAAACTCCAAAGTTGGGACTCTGGAATCTTGAGTCATGAGACAAATTATAGATAAAACTACAAAAATCCAGAATTTACATGTGTGGTTTTTGCTGATAAAGTACAATTCTAAGATTGTAAATAATTGCATAATCCTTCCCTGGGAATTTAAATCATTTGAACTGGTTCTGCTGTAATACTAGAAATACAAGCATGAACAATTCTAATGGTTTATTAGTCACAATGACTCTGAAAACACTAATAATACCTATTAGATATTTTGCATATTACACAGGAAGAAGAGTTCGAATCTCAGATAAAAACAATAAAAATTCATGAAAAGTCTTTCATGTTAGCACAGATTTTAGGCATCTCATGTTTGGGAGGTTGGATCTAAGACATGTTTTGAGTTGGTCATAGTGAAGGACGCGAGGTGTCAATTCTAGTGAGAGCAATTTCCAGGAAGCCATGTTCCGCTCTTGAGCGAGCACCCACTGGGCCTCATGCAAGGTAGAAAAAGCCTGCGTACGTCACCCTCCCATGATGTGGTCAACATGTAAACTGCATGGGCAGGGCGCCAAATAACATCCTGTGCGCTGCTGAGCTGAGCTGGGGCGCGGCCGCCTGTCTGCACCGGCAGCACCATGTCGCTCATGGTCATCATCATGGCGTGTGTTGGTGAGTCCTGGAAGGGAATAGAGGGAGGGAGCGTGGGGATGGAGATCTGGGCCCAGAGGTGGAGATATGGGCCTGGAGGTGGAGTTATGGGCCTGGAGTGGAGATCTGGGCCTAGAGATGGAGTGATGAGCCTAGAAGTGGAGATCTGCGCCTGGAGTGGAGATCTGGGCCTGGAGTGAAGATCTGGGCCTGGAGTGGAGATATGGGCCTGGAGTGGGGATAGGAACCTGGAGTGGAGAGAGGAACCTGGAGGAGAGATAGGAACCTGGAGGGGAGGTAGGAGCCTAGGGTGGAGATATGGGACTGGAGTGGAGATATGGGACTGGAGTGGAGATATGGGCCTGGAGTGGAGTTATGGGCCTGGAGTGAAGTTATGGGCCTGGAGGTGGAGATACGGGCCTGGAGTGGAGATATGAGCCTGGAGTGGAGATATGGTCCTGGAGTGGAGATATGGGCCTGGAGTGGAGATATGGGTCTGCAGTGGAGTTATGGGCCTGGAGTGAAGTTATGGGCCTGGAGGTGGAGATATGGGACTGGAGTGGAGATATGGGACTAGAGTGGAGATAGGGGCCTGGAGGTGGAGATCTGGGCCTGGAGTGGAGATCTGGGCCTGGAGTGGAGATCTGGGCCTGGAGTGGAGATATGGGCCTGGAGTGGAGATATGGGTCTGCAGTGGAGATATGGGCCTGGAGGTGGAGATATGGGCCTGGAGTGGAGTTATGGGCCTGGAGTGAAGTTATGGGCCTGGAGGTGGAGATATGGCCCTGGAGTGGAGATATGGGCCTGGAGTGGAGATCTGGGCCTACGGTGGAGATATGGGCCTAGGATGGGGATATGGGCCTGGAATGGAGATATGGGCCTGGGTGTGGAGATATGGGACTGGAGTGGAGATATGGGCCTGATGTGGAGATATGGGCTTGGAGTGGAGATATGATCCTGGAGTGTAGTTATGGGCCTGGAGGTGGAGATCTGGGCCTGGGGTGGAGATATGGGCCTGGAGTGGAGATATGGGACTGGAGAGGAGATATGGGACTGGAGTGGAGATATGGGCCTGGAGTGGAGATATGGGCCTGGATTGGAGATATGGGCCGAGGGTGGAGATCTGAGCCTGGATTGGAGATGTGGGCCCGGATTGGCTATATGGGTCTAGGGTGGAAATATCGGCCTGGAGTGGAGATATGGGCCTGGAGTGGAGATATGGGCTTGGGGTGGGGATATGGGCCTGGAGGCTGGGTCTCTGCACAGCCGAGAGCACTGTTCTTGGGTGCAGGTAGGCACTGATGGTGAGTTTCCCTTCGGCCCAGGAAGGGGCTGGCTATCAAGACTCACAGCCCAGTGGGGGCAGCAAGGAAGGCCTTGTTTGCCTGCAAATGGATCTTCCATCATGATCTTTCTTTCCAGGGTTCTTCTTGCTGCAGGGGGCCTGGCCACAGGAGGGTAAGTCCTTCTCCAAACCTTAGGGTGTCATCTCCCCACATAAGAGGATTTTCCTGAAACGGGAGGGAAGTCCTGTCAGGGAGTCTCTCATAAACTAGGAAGAGGGGACCCTGGGGTGCTCGGCCCACAGTTCCGACCTTGCCTCCCTGGCCTCTCAACCCCTTGGCAGAGTCAAGTTGTGTGGGGACCAGGGTTGGACTAGGGTGTTCAAAGCTGGGTTGTGTGGTGGGGAAGTGGTAGGAACAGCAGATCCTCTGAGGACAAAGGTGTTACTCACACACTTCAGCGTTTCCATGACGGTAGGGGCTGCAGTGTGGCTGCTGTCATTCTACCAGAAGAGGTGGGAAACCACAGCCATGGCCCTGACATTCCAAATCCTCTGATGGGGGCTAAGTTTTTTATTATCATTCAGGCAACTGCTGATATTCCATTCTCAAAGGACATGCCCTCCACTTCATGTCTACCCTGTGTTGTTTTATGTCAGTAATCTTACAGTATTAAAATCTAGTAGGAGTCTCTTACTCAGCACTTGCTCAAAGTTCTCAGCTGACACTTTTGTTGTACGGAGACACCTTGTCTTTGTGGGATGGGTCCTTCCTTTAGCCCTAGGCACCAAGGTGTGATAGCAGCCATAGAAATGTGGAAAGTGGGGAGAATCTTCTGAGCACAGGGAGGGAGGCACAGCTCCACATCCTCCTCTCTAAGGCGGCGCCTCCTTCACCCCAAGGTGGTCAGGACAAGCCCTTGCTTTCTACCTGGCCCAGCCTTGTGGTGCCTCCAGAACATGTGACTCTTCAGTGTCACTCTAATCTTGGGTTTAACAACTTCAGTCTGTACAAGGATGATGGGGTGCCTGTCCCTGAGCTGTACAACAGAATATTCTGGAAAAGCCTTTTCATGGGCCCTGTGACCCCGTCACATGCAGGGACCTATAGATGCCGGGGTTCACACACACACTCCCCCAGTGGGTGGTCGGCACCCAGCAACCCCCTGGTGATCATGGTCACAGGTCAGAGGGCTCCTGTCTGGGATTCTCCTTGTCCCACCTCCTGAATCCCAGAGCTTCTGGTAGGCATGTCCTTGAGGGTCCCATCACGCAGGCCCTAACTGTATTTGGGGTAAAGGGGGATTGAATACAGGGAAATGGGTGCTGTGGTGGGAAGAATAAGTGTCCCCAGTGATGACTGCATTCTAATCCCTGGAGTCTGTGACTATTTATGTTATAGGGGAAGGGACTGAAGGGGAAGATGGAGCTCAGGTTGTTGATGAGTTGACCTTGAGATGGGGAGACAGCCTGGACTGTCCCGGTGGGCTCAGTATAATCACAAGTGTCCACATGAAAGGAGGAGGAAGAGGAGAGTGGGGATTAGAGCAGCGTAGTGGGAGACTCCATCAGCTTTGAAGGTGGATGAAGGCCATAAGCCATGAATGCAGGTGGCCTATAGAGGCTGGGAAAGTCAAGTAACTGATTCTCCTGAGTCTCCAGAGGGAACACAGCCCTGCAGATGCCTTGATTTTAGCCCTCGAAAAACAGGGTCCGCTTTCTGTCTCCAGAATCGGAGGGGGTCAGTGTGCTCTCTCCTGCTGCCATGCTTCTGATAATTTTCTACAGCAGCAACAGGAAACCAACACTGGAACCCAGGTCAAGGACAAGTTAAGAAAAGACACAAGGATAGCCAGGCATGGTGGCAGGTGCATGTAATCCTAGCGACTCGGGAGGCTGAGAGCAGGAGAATCGCTTGAACCCAGGAGACAGAGGTTGCAGTGAGCGTAGACCACACCACTTCACTCCAGCCTGGGTGAAGGAGTGAGACTCTGTCTCCAAAATTAATTAATTAATTAAAGAAACCAAACAAAGAGAAGGTTGGCTGCACCGAGATCAGCAAGGGTGGGATGATGATGCCACCACCAGGCTCCATCCACATAGGGAGGGGTTGATACTCCTCAAATCAGCACGAGGAGCCAGCCTATGGAAACTGGCACCATGGAGAAGGCACAGACATGGCAAGAGTGGCTCCCAGTCCCCACCAGGAACAGGGTGTGTGGACACTGGTGCCTGCCTTACTGATCAGTTCATACCTCCTGCCAAGGATTCCAATTCGTCCAAAAGAGATTGAACCAGGCTGCTAAGAGCCGGGACGTGCAGCCTATCCTGCTTCCTCTTCCACTCCCACATAGACAGTAAGAAAGACATTAGTGTGAAATAGATACAACAGCCCAAGAGATGAGGCTGAGCCCAGTGGGAAGGGAATCACAGCTACTAGAGACAGAGGGACAGAGAAGAGGGAGGGAGACAGATGGAAGGACCTGCACCAGGAGTTATGGGCACAGAAAAGAACATGAAGACACAGAGAGGAAGCAGAGAGACAGACACCAGCGAAGGGAAGGCTCACTCATTCCAGGTGCCATGGATGGGATGATAAAGAGAGACACCTTCTAAACTCACAACCTCTCTTCCTAGGAGTCCACAGAAAACCTTCCTTCCTGGCCCTCCCAGGTCACCTGGTGAAATCAGAAGAGACAGTCATCCTGCAATGTTGGTCGGATGTCATGTTTGAGCACTTCCTTCTGCACAGAGAGGGGAAGTTTAACAACACTTTGCACCTCATTGGAGAGCACCATGATGGGGTTTCCAAGGCCAACTTCTCCATTGGTCCCATGATGCCTGTCCTTGCAGGAACCTACAGATGCTACGGTTCTGTTCCTCACTCCCCCTATCAGTTGTCAGCTCCCAGTGACCCTCTGGACATGGTGATCATAGGTGAGAGTGTCCAGACATTCTTCTCATTGTCATTGGGATGCAGAGTGAATGATCCAGGACTTGGAGACCCAGGTGGTTGTAAGGAAGATGAGCTTGGTATTCTTATGGAGAGAGACTGACTTGGTGAGGTCTGTGCCAACAGAGACAGAGAAACAAGAGACACAAGTACAGACCAGGTGTCATAACAGAGGACAAACACAGGGGCCATACAGGGAGTTAGAAAAGACAGAAAGAGTTAAAGGAGACAGACAGACATGTCCCAGACAGAGGTGTCCTTCCATGCTGACTTTGCTCAGAGACCTGGCACAGGTTAGAAGTTTCATTTCTGTTTTACCTCCACAAAGTGTTCTCTACCAGGAGAACCCAAGGACACCCATATTTCTGACCTGAGTTGGGCCCTGTGGCCTCAGGCCTTGTGGCACCTACAGATGCCATGCTTATTCTGACACCTCTGACTTCCATGCAATGGAGAATAATCGTCCCAAAATATCATGGCCCCAGAACACCAACCCCTGTATGCTGTGTGAACTTGTGGTCTCCAGACTGGATTCTGAGGCTCACATTCCAAATAACCCCACATATCACATATGAGAGGATCACTGAGAAGCACAGAGAGAAATCAGGGACACCAAAAAGCAAAGACATAAACACACAGAGAAAGAGCCAGAGGAAGGAGATTGAGAGACTCACAGACACATAAAGAGAGAGAAGAGGGCAGAGAAGTGGAGAGAATGATGGAAGAGAGCAGAGAAAACCACTAAAATTAGAGTCCTGAGGGCGAGGCACAAGGGCATAGAAAGATGGAGATGTGGGGATGAATTGCAGAGATTCCAAAGAGAACTAGAGAGACCGAGAGGCAGAGCAAGACAGATGATAGATGGATAGATACAGATAGATGATGGATAGATATAGATAGATGATATATAGGTAGATGATAGATAATAGGTTATAGATACATAGATGATGATTGATTGATTCATTAATAGATGATACATAGAGATGATGATGATGAAGATAGATGGATAGATAATACATAGAGATAGAGAGGAAGACAAAGAGAGAAATAATAGAGAGAGAGAGATGATACATATATATAGATAATAGATGATTGACGGATAGACAATTGATAGATAAATAGATGATATATAGATATAGATGACAGGTAGAGAATTTGTAGATAGGCACCGAATAGATAAATAGATGGATTGATAGATAATAGATAGAAATATGCAGAAAGTTATGAACGGGACACAAACTGAGAAACTCAGAGTTAAAAAAAGTAACATCAAGTCAACCAATCCAAGGAGAGCCAGAGAGAATAAAACAATCCAAAAAAGGAAAACATAACTAGAGGTAGGGAAGTGAGGTCAGAGACCTACAGAGACAGAGAAGGTGGAAGGAGGAAATAGACATGAAGAGAGATAGGGTGGAGGGTGAGACAGAGAAAGAGAGCATTAGGCCATAGAGCAGGGGAGTGAGTTCTCAGGTCAGGTGTGAGGGGAGCTGTGACAAGGAAGATCCCCCCTGAGGAAACTGCCCCTTCTCCTTCCAGGTCTATATGAGAAACCTTCTCTCTCAGCCCAGCCGGGCCCCACGGTTCAGGCAGGAGAGAATGTGACCTTGTCCTGCAGCTCCCGGAGCTCCTATGACATGTACCATCTATCCAGGGAAGGGGAGGCCCATGAACGTAGGCTCCCTGCAGTGCGCAGCATCAACGGAACATTCCAGGCCGACTTTCCTCTGGGCCCTGCCACCCACGGAGGGACCTACAGATGCTTCGGCTCTTTCCGTGACGCTCCCTACGAGTGGTCAAACTCGAGTGATCCACTGCTTGTTTCCGTCACAGGTGAGGAAACCCCATATCTGTCCCATGTCCTATGATCCTAGAGCCTTAGCTGAGGAGCTTCCTGCTGATGATGGAGAGAAGCATGGACAGATGCAGAGAGAAGACGCAGCATGCCTGTGAGGGAGGGATCAGGGCGCAGGATGGCACACACAGCACCTCCAAACCCTCCTGCATGGCCTGCATGGAGGCCTCCGATTAGGGCTCCAGAAACCCAGGCAGATGTAGAAAGCGGTCAGGAGAGACCCAGAGAAGGGGAGACTGGGCTCAGTTTGGGGAGATCAGAGGTTCCCTCAGCCCCTCAACCTTACCCATTTCCCAGAAGCCCTTCCTGGCCTCTCACCCACACAGAGATGTCATCACCAGCAACCCCTACATCCTTTTCTTTTTGTTTGAAAAAATATTCATTGAGGTTAAATATACCTATATAGCTTACCACTTTTAACATTTTTTTTTTTTTGAGGTGGAGTCTAGCTCTGTCTCCTATGCTGGAATGCAGTGGCACAATCTCAGCTCACTGTAACCTCCGCCTCCTGGGTTCAAGCGATTCTCCTGCCTCAGCCACCTGAGTAGCTGGTACTACAGGCGCCCATCACCACGCCGGGCTACTTTTTGTATATTTAGTAGAGAGGGGGTTTCACCATGTTGGTCGAGCTGCTCTGGAACTCCTGACCACGTGATCCACCCGCCTCAGGCTCCCAAAGTGCTGGGATTACAGGCATGAGCCACCGCGCCCGGCCACGTTTACCAATTTTAAGTGTAAGGTCTAGTGGTCATAAATACATACATATAAATTTTTTGTTTGTTTGTTTTATCCTCCACCCTTTTCTTCCTGGCCTCTGGTAGCCACCATTCTACTCTCTATCTTCATGAGATCCACCTTTTAGCTCCTGTATATGGGTGAGAAATGAGAATATTTGTAATGACTTCCAGTTCCATCCATGTGGCTGCAAATATCAGGATGTTATTCTTTCTATGGATGAGTAGTCTCCGCTGTGCGTATGTACTACATTCTCTCTATCCATTCATCCACTGATGGGCAGGTAGGTTGACTCCACATCTTGGCTACTGTGAAGAGTGCTGCACCAATCATACGAGTGCAGATATCACTTCGATACATTGATTTACTTTCCTTTGGATATAAACCCAGTAGTGAAATTGCTGGATACTATGAAAGTTCTCTTTTTAGTTTTTCGTTTGTTGTTTTGTTTTTGTTTTTGAGACAGTTTCCCTCTGTGCCCAGGCTGGAGTACAAGTGATGTGATCTTGGCTCATTGCAACCTCCGCCTCCTGGGTTCAAATGATTTTCCTGCCTCAGCCTCCCTAGTAGCTGGGATTACAGGTGCACGCCACCATGCCGGGATACTTTTTGGTTTTTTTTAGTGTACATGGGGTTTCCCCAGGTTGGCTAGGCTGCTCTCAAACTCATGACCTCAACTGAGGTGCCCGCCTCGGTCTCCCAAAGTGCCGGGATTACAGGCATGATCCACTTCATCCAACCTCTTTTTAGTTCTTTAAAGGACTTCCATACTTTTCTCCGTAATGGCTGTACTAATTTACACTCCTACCAACAGGGTACCAGGGTTCTCCTTTCTCTACCACCTTGCCAGCATTTGTTTTGCCTGTCTTGCAGCTAAAAGCCATTTTATTTTATTTCATTTTATTTTGAGATGGAGTTTCGCTCTTGTCACCCAGGCTGGAGTGCAGTGGTGCGATCTCGGCTCACCGCAACCTCCACCTCCCAGGTTCAAGCGATTCTCCTGCCTCAGCCTCCCGAGTAGCTGGAATTACAGGCACACGCCACCACGCCCGACTAATTTTTGTATTTTTAGTAGAGACAGCGTTTCTCCATGTGGGTCAGACTGGTCTCAAACTCCCGACCTTATGAGATTCGCCCACCTCGGGCTCTCAGAGTTCTAGGATGACAGACGTGAGCCACCTCGCCCGGCCTAAAAGCCATTTTAATGGGGTGAGATGAAAACTCACTTTGATTTTAATTCGCGTTTCTCTGATGATGAGTGATACTGAGCACTTTTTCGTATGTGGGGAAATTTCATGTCTTTTGCTCCTTTTTCAATTAAATCATTTGTTTTATTGAGTTGTTTGAGCTTCTTATACTTCTAGTTATTAATCCCGTCTCAGATGCATAGTTTGCACATATTTGCTCCCAATCTGTGGGTTGTCTCTTCACTTTGTTGGTTTATTTTTAGCGGTGCAGAAGTTGCTTAGTTTGAGGTAATCCCAATGGTCTATTTTTGCTTCGATTACTTGTGTTTTGAAGGTTTAAAACAAAATGTCTTCCTTCAGACAAATGTACTGGAGCATTTCCCCAATATTTTCTTCTACGTGTTTCACAGGTTCAGGCCTTAGACTCACATCTTTAATCCACTTTCATTTGATTTTTGTGTATGGTGACAGGTAGAGGTGCAGTTTCATTCCTCTGCATGTAGATGTCCAGGTTTCCCTGCACTGTTTATTGAAAAAACTGTCCTTTCCTGATTGTGAGTTCTTGGCACCTTTGTCAAAGTCCATTGGATGGGCTGGGCATGGTGGCTAACACCAGCAACTTCAGCACTTTGGGAGGCCAAGGCTGGTGGATCACCTGAGGACAGGAGTACAAGATTACTCTGGCCGACGTGATGAAACATCGTCTCCACTAAAAATATAAAAATTAGCTGAGCATGGTGGTCAGCACCTGTAATACTACTACTCAGGAGTTTGAGGCAAGAGAATTGATTGAACCCAGGAGGCTGAGGTTGCAGTGAACCGAGATTGCACCTCTGCACTCCAGCCTGGGTGACAGAGCGAGACTCCATCTCAAAAGAAAAAATAAAAAAAATTGGATGTAAATGCATGGATTATATCTGTGTTCTTCATTCTGCTCCGTTGTTCTATGTGCCTTTCTTCATGCCAACATCATGCTGTTTTGCTTACTACAGCTCTGTAACATATTTTGAGATCAGGTAGTGTGATGCTCCTGTTTTCTCTTTATACCTTGAAGTCTCAAGACAGTGGGCGTCACATACAAAAATTATGGAAGAAAGGATCCCTGGACTCCCAGGGCCCAATGTTAGATAACAGAGTGTTGGCCATGAACCAAACTCAAAGATTTCCACTGAGTAGAGGACAGACACCCTCATTTCCTCACCTCTCTCCTGTCTCATGTTCTAGGAAACCCTTCAAATAGTTGGCCTTCACCCACTGAACCAAGCTCCAAAACCGGTGAGTACAGGACCCTCTTATATCCGCTTTTGGAACCCTGGGGAGGTGGAAACCTTGGATTCAGGCGTTGACTCAGCATCTCACAGCTCTGACATTGTACGCCTGTCTTCTACCATCTCCGAACTCCAGATACTCCAACAGCGAAAGGGATCTGGGCCCAACACAGGGCTCAGTGAAATCTCTTCATCTCTCATTTTATGGAGCTGAGACCTCCTACAAGCTAGAAGAATGATTGCCAATCTGACATCCTTCTCAGGAAAAACGCAATGTTTGTTCTGCTTGCATTCCTAACTGGAGGATAAATTCCTGGGGGCTTGAGAGAGGGAAGGGAAGCGAACATCTGATGAGGGCGAGGTGTTTTAGAGAAGTTCCACTTGCCAAGGAATGAGCTCCTGTTGGTCATGAAACAACCCTGGCTGACTCAGCAGAGCAAGAGCCTTGCCGTAACAGAGAACAGAGCTCATGCACGCACACTTTGACTCACTGACTTATTCAGCCACGGCCCCATGCTCAGGTTGTGCAGTGTGGAAGCTTTTCCTATTGTTGCCATAACAAATTTCCACAAGATTCGTGGGTGAAAACAAAACGGTTATTTAATTATCTTACAGTGCTCTAGCTCAAAGCATGAAGTGCATCTCACTGGGCTAAAATCAAGATGACAGCAAGCCTGCCTTCCCTCTGAGGATTCCAGGCAAGAATCTGCTTCTCACTTGTCCCATCTTATAAAGGCTCCCAGTTCCTTGGCTGCTGGTCCCTTTCCTCCTTCCTCAAAACCCACAAAGACTGGTCACATCTCACATGGCATCACTCAGACCCTTCTTCCTTACCACACCTCTTTCTCTGAATGCTGCTCTCCCTTCTTCCTCATCTTTTGAAAACTTGGGGATTCTATTGGGTTCACCAAGATGAAAATCCGTCATAATCTCCCGGAAATCATTCAGGATACCCTTGTTTTAAGTTCAGCTGATTAGCAACCATAATTCCATCTGCAATCTTCATTCCTCCTTTCCATGTAAAATAACATATTCACAAGCTATGGAGGCTAGGACAGGGACATTTTGGGGTGGGACAGCATTCTCCTGCCTTCCACAAATGGTGAACAAGATGCATTTGGCCTCTGCTCTTGGGACACTGATATTGCAGATGGTTAAATGGGAGGACAGAAAATGAATGCACAAGTGGACCAATAAATGAATGATCCATTGGGAAGCATCTGTGCATGAAATCTATTTGTTTGTTTGTTCGTTTGTTTATTGAGACAGAGTCTCCCTCTGTCTTCCAGGCTACAGTGCAGTGTCACGATCTTGGCTCACTGCAACCTGCGTCTCCTGGATCCAAGTGATTCTCCTGCCTCACCCTCTCGAGTAGCTGGGATTACAGGCAACTGCCACCATGCCCGGCTAATTCTTTTTGTATATTTTTTGTAGAGAGGATGTTTCACCATGTTGGCCAAGCTTGTCTGAAACTCCCAACCTCAAGTGATCCGACCATCTCAGCAACCCAAAGTACTGGGATTACAGGCGTGAGCCACTTTGCCCAGCCAGAATTCAAAATAAATAATAGATAATGCTGAGTGTATAATTTTGGGTGACAGAGAAGGTCTCACTAATCAGATATTTGTGACATTAATGAAAAACACGGATTGAACCCCTGAAAGATTGGCGGAAGGATTTTCCACACACAGCTGTCAGCTGTGAAGGCACAAAGGTGAAAACAATCTGATGTTGAAGGAAGAGGCTCTGCCTGAAATGCTGGGAATGAGGTGGGGAGAATGACAAGATGACTGTAGAGAGATGGAGAGCACTCTGGGTACACAGGAAACTAAGGAGGAACAAGGAGTGTGTGTTTGACACTCACAGCCATTGGATTCACCTCGGGGTAACCAGGAATCCCTACATGATTAATAGTGACTGACAAGAAAATAAGGGAGGCCCAGGTGCGTAACTGGAATCTAGGAGACTGTGGAAAAGGCAATTGCCGCCCCACTGGTGAAATGTGGTGCTGATTTAGACACTAAATGAATGAAGTAGATGGATATAAGATATGCTTGTGAGGTAGAATCATTGGCTGGAAAGGCTTGCTGGGTTTGATTTTCCTACTTGTTTAATCCTCGCTTAATTAATTTCTTTCTGAGATTTATTCATCCTACACATAAATCAATACCTGGCAAAGGAGTGACAGATATATGAGGGGTGGTGGAAATGAAGGGACCTATTATAGCATAATATACAAGTCTGTGAACGGTGGCTCATGCTTGTAACCCAGCCCTGCAGGAGGCCAAGGCGGGTGGATTCCATGAAGTCAGGAGTTCCAGACCAGCCTGGCCAACATGGTGAAACCCTATCTGTACTAAAAATACAAAAATTAGCCGAGCATGGTGGTGCATCCCTGTAATCCCAGCTCCTACTCTGGAGGATGAAGCAGGAGAATGACTTCAACCCAGGAGGTGGAGGTTGCAGTGAGTGGAGATTGCATCACTGCACTCCAGCCTGGGTGACACAAGGAGACTCCGTCTCAAAAAATAAAAATAAGAAATGCATAAATATAATAAAACACACACGAATGACAAAGGCACCTGAATTCCAATCATCGTTTTTCTATTTCTCTATAATTACTTCTTTGATCCTTTATCTTATCCATTAGGCAATGAGCCTAAAACCTCTTCCCTATTTGGCTTTCTGTGAGCATGAGATCACATAGAAAATGTGAAAGCCCGCTGAATCCTCCAGCACGGATCCTGGAATAGAGAATGTGCTCTGGTCATCGCAAAAAAAAACTTGCCCACTCACCCAAATCGCCCACCTCACCCCTACTTCCAATCACCTGTGGAGATTCAGATAGACCATGGGGAGGAAACATTAATATTCCTTGGAGTGAGTCCAGATCTTGGAATCAGAGATCAGCGACAGCACTAGCTCCTGTTCCCCTTTCCTACTAATTCACAGGAGGACAGGTGGTATTGAAGCAATAGATGGTGGAGGGGGTGGTCCTTCCCCCAGCCTCTCGGGTAGAACAGCAGCCTAACATGTGTCTCCCGAGATCACAAAGAGCAGCACATTTCACACGGGCTTCAACACTATTTTCTGGCTGTTTGACATAAGAGAATCTTGCTTCGCTATTTTTAATCGTGATTTCACCTTTGTTTCCTTTCCTTGGTGAATGCAATTTGTTTGACTCAAGAATGCTGTGGATGTAGAAATCCTAAAGCACATTCGCTGTGTATCAATCCCAGTGCAGTCTTCCCAGAGAAGACTCTAAACAAATCCTGGACTGCACCTGGGCCTATGCCAATTCCTATCACTCACCGTCACTCCAGGGAGACAGAACACACAGAGGATACGTTACATAGGCAGGTTCATTACTAACAGATAAGCAGCGAGTGACAACAGAAGCCTGCATTTCAATGTGAGCCAGTCCCTCAAGGCTCAGAAAAGCTGCTCGGGACATATGGAGTCACCCCATTTGCAGTGTAACTGGGGGAAGCCAGAAAGCAGCCCAGCCTGGGTTTTGTACCCTGGAGCCACAGGAAGCACTCAGCTAAAGCACTGCATGACGTCCTCCTCCAGGAAGAACAGGAAGACAGCCCAGGCTGTTCTGAGACATTCCTCCTGATCTCAGGATGTTGCTATCTTAGTCCATTTTTGTTGCTCTAAAGGAACACTTGAGCCTGGGTAACTTCTAAAGAAAAGAGATTGGTTTGCCTCACAGTTCTGCAGGCTGTACTGGAAGCATGGCACCAGAATCTATTTCTCTTGACGGCCTCAGGCTGCTCCCACTCTGGCAGAAGGGAAGGAGGGTCTGTCTGTGCAGAGACCGCAGAGATCACACGGCAAGAGAGAGAGTAAGGGGGAGAGGGAGCGATGGAGCTTCCAAGCTCTTTTTAACAACCAGCTCTCCAGGAACTAACAGAGGGGGAACTTGCTAACCCCGTCTCCTTGGGACAGCATTGATCTGTTCATGATGGATCCACCTCCATGACCCAAACACCTCTGAAGAGGCCCAACCTCCCACAATGGGGGTGAAATTTCAATGTGAGGTTTGAAAGGGTCAAACATCTCAACTAAAGTAGTTGTATCCTCAGCACGTTCTATGGTTACTATGAGAGCTATAATTGAGAAAGCAGGGGAAAGCTAGGTCTCCCGCCATTTGGGTGCTTGTCCTAAAGAGACGTTGTATGTGGTTACCTGCCAATCAAGAAATGCGAGACAATTCATAAAGAGGAACTGCTATGATTAGCTTCTTATTGGTGTCTCCTCTTCTTCCAGGTAACCCCAGACACCTACATGTTCTGATTGGGACCTCAGTGGTCAAAATCCCTTTCACCATCCTCCTCTTCTTTCTCCTTCATCGCTGGTGCTCCGACAAAAAAAGTAAGTCTCACGAAGCAGAGGCCAGAGAGCTCAGGGCCATGTGGGGAAGCAGGATGGGAGCACGCGGATGTGTGTTCCTCACCAGCAGGATGGTCCCTGGCCCAAGACAGGAGCCACAGAGGCAGGACTTTCTAGAGAGAGCACCAGATTCCCTTCCCCTGCCTTCAGCTCACAGACCATTGCCTGATTCTGAACTGTATCCTCACGTCCCCTGCAGCCACTCACATCCAGGAGAAGGTTCCATGACAGGCAGAAAGTGGGAGATAGAATCAATGGGATGGGACCTCAGAGCTATTCATGGGATGGGTCCTTGAACTCAGAGAGATAGAATGTCTGAGTCTGCTGTTGGCAACTGAGGGACCTCAGGCACCTATGGCCTCCCCCTGTTTGTTGGTATCTGCTTATGAAATGAGGACCCAGAAGTGCCCTCCGAGCTCTTTTGTTGACTTCCGTCTTCTACAGATGCTGCTGTAATGGACCAAGAGCCTGCAGGGAACAGAACAGTGAACAGCGAGGTAGGTGCTCCTCGGCCCAGCCTCGTGGCTAGTCTTATTCCCAAAGAGTCCTGAAAAATGTGAGCACCCTCCCTCACTCAGCATTTCCCTCTCTCCAGGATTCTGATGAACAAGACCATCAGGAGGTGTCATACGCATAATTGGATCACTGTGTTTTCACACAGAGAAAAATCACTCGCCCTTCTGAGAGGCCCAAGACACCCCCAACAGATACCAGCATGTACATAGAACTTCCAAATGCTGAGCCCAGATCCAAAGTTGTCTTCTGTCCACGAGCACCACAGTCAGGCCTTGAGGGGATCTTCTAGGGAGACAACAGCCCTGTCTCAAAACCGGGTTGCCAGCTCCCATGTACCAGCAGCTGGAATCTGAAGGCATCAGTCTTCATCTTAGGGCATCGCTCTTCCTCACACCACGAATCTGAACATGCCTCTCTCTTGCTTACAAATGTCTAAGGTCCCCACTGCCTGCTGGAGAGAAAACACACTCCTTTGCTTAGCCCACAATTCTCCATTTCACTTGACCCCTGCCCACCTCTCCAACCTAACTGGCTTACTTCCTAGTCTACCTGAGGCTGCAATCACACTGAGGAACTCACAATTCCAAACATACAAGAGGCTGCCTCTTAACACAGCACTTAGACAGGTGCTGTTCCACCTCCCTTCAGACTATCTTTCAGCCTTCTGCCAGCAGTAAAACTTATAAATTTTTTAAATAATTTCAATGTAGTTTTCCCGCCTTCAAATAAACATGTCTGCCCTCATGGTTTCGGTAACGAGACTCTTTTCTTGCCTAAGGCTTCCGGTGTTATCATTACCATGTCCACATAACCCCATCTGTTCTCCATTGGGTTCTCAGCCCTGGACTCTGAGCTTCTGGAAGCAGAATGTAGCCTGATTTGTCTCTGAGACTCCAATTTCCATCCAAAGATACAGCACATAGGAGGCTCCAAGGATCGTGAATCACATGAACAAGTGATATTCTTACTCTCTGCAGACCTGGAAAGCTGGCAGAGTCATTCCACGATGAAACATTTGTAGAGACATAGGCCTTGTTAGTCTCATCTCCACGGGGACACATATCAACATATCATCTTTCATAATATAAATATACAGTCGGTCCTCCATATCTGTGGGGTTTACAGGTGTTTATTGAACCAACAATAAATCAAAAATATTTTCAGAAAAAAATCCCCGAAGTTTCAAGAAGCAAAAAACTATGTTGAATCGACACAAATTGAGTGGCGTGTAGGCTGTGTCAGGAATTATAAGTAATCAAGAGATGATTTCATGTATACAGGAGGATGTGCATGGGTTCTATGCAATTGCTATGCTATTTTTTTTTTTTTTTTGAGACAGTCTCACTCTCTCACCCAGGCTGGAGTGCAGTGGCATGATCTCAGCTCACTGCAACCTCCGCCTCCCAGGTTCAAGCGATTGTCTTCCCTCAGCCTCCCCAGTAGCCTCCCCTAGGATTACAGGCACGTGCCACCATGCACAGATAAATTTTTTTGTGTGTGTATTTTTAGTAGAGACGGGGTTTCAGAATGTTGGACCAGCTGGTCTTGAACTCCTGACCTCGTGATCTACCCAACTCAGCCTCCCAAAGTGCTGGGATTACAGGCGTGAGCCACGGTGCCCAGCTTCGCTATGCCATTTCATGCAAGGGGCTTGAGCATCTGCAGATTTTGGTATCTGAATGGGGATCCTGGAACCAATCACCCAGGAATAGTGAAGGACCACAGTATATAATTTTTATTTGTCAATCTTAAAAATAAAGCATAAAAAGTTTACAACAACAAGATAAAAAATAAGAAGTGTTTTTATAGTGTGAGGATAAGTTTAGATTTATTTTTTCCTACGTGTAACCCTATGGTCCTGTGTTATTTATTGAGAAAATATTCTATTCCACCTTAAACTACATGGCAGCCTTTGTCAACTATAAAGGGACTGTGTATCCACAGATGTATTTTAGACACAGTTTTCTGCCCAGTGGTTCTCTGTATCCCCTCTCATGAGGATGCTGCATTTCATATAAACTTATAGAACCCCTTAAAATTTGGTAACCTGAGTTCTCTGATTTGTTATTATAGGTTATTTAGTTTGCTTTTTTTTTTCTTTCTTGAGACAGACTCTTCCTCTGTCACCCAAGCTGGAGTTCAGTGGCTTGAGCTCAGCTCACTGCAGCCTCCGCCTCCCAGGTTCAAGCAATTCTCGTGCCTCAGGTTTAGTACTAGAAACTCATCAGGAAAATTAGAATGGCTTTTTGTCACAATTACTCTGATAATGTTAATAATACCTCTTAGATATTTTGCACATTACACATGAAGAAAAGTTTGAATCTCAGATAAAAACAAAAATACATCAAAAGTCTTTAATGTAAGCACAGAATTCAATCACCTCATGTGTGAGAGGTTGGATCTGAGACGTCTTTTGAGTCTGGTCATAGTGAAGGATGCAAGGTGGCAATTGTAGTCACAACAATTTCCAGGAAGCCATGTTCCGCTCTTGAGCGAGCACCCACTGGGCCTCATGCAAGGTAGAAAGAGCCTGCGTACGTCACCCTCCCATGATGTGGTCAACATGTAAACTGCATGGGCAGGGCGCCAAATAACATCCTGTGCGCTGCTGAGCTGAGCTGGGGCGCGGCCTCCTGTCTGCACCGGCAGCACCATGTCGCTCACTGTCGTCAGCATGGCGTGCGTTGGTGAGTCCTGGAAGGGAATAGAGGGAGGGAGAGTGGGGATGGAGATCTCGGCCTAGAGGTAAAGATATGGGCCTGGAGTGGAGATATGGGCCTGGAGTGGAGATATGGGCCTGGGTGTGGAGATATGGGCCTGGAGGTGTAAATATGGGCCTGGAGTGCAGATATGGGCCTGGAGGGGAGATATGGGCCTGGGTGTGGAGATATGGGCCTGGAGTGGAGATACGGGCCTGGAGTGGAGATATGGGCCTGGAGTGGAGATATGGGCCTGCAGGTGGAGATCTGGGCCTGGAGTGGAGATATGGGCCTGGAGTGGAGATATGGGTCTGATGTGGAGATATGGGCCTGGAGTGGAGATATGGGCCTGGAGTGGAGATATGGGCCTAGAGGGGAGATCTGGGCCTGGAGTGGAGATATGGGTCTGATGTGGAGATATGGGCCTGGAGTGGAGATAGGGGCCTGGAGTGGAGATAGGGGCCTGGAGTGGAGATATGGGCCTGGAGTGGAGATCTGGGCCAGGAAGTGTTGATCTGGGCCTGGAGCCTGGGTCTCTCCACAGCTGAGAGCCCTGTTCTTGGCAGCAGGTAGCAGGGAGGCTAAGTTTACCTTCAGCCCAGCAAGGGCCTGGCTGCCAAGACACACAGTGCAGTGGGGGCAGCAGGGTGCCCTGGTTTGCCTGCAGTTGGATCGTCTATCATGATCTTTCTTTCCAGGGTTCTTCTTGCTGCAGGGGGCCTGGCCACTCATGGGTGAGTCCTTCCCCAAACCTTAGGGTGTCATCTCCCCACATAAGAGGATTTTTCTGAAACAGGAGGGAAGTCCTGTCGGGGAGTCTCTCATAAACTAGGAAGAGGGGACCCTTGGATACTCGGCCCACATTTCTGACCTCGCCCTCCCCGGCCTTTCTTTCCCTTTCCTGAGTCAAGCTCTGTGAAGACTGGGGTGAGACTGGGGTGCTCCAAGCTGGGGTGTGCAGGGAGGAAGTGGTGTCAGCAGCAGAGAAAGAGAGGGAAGCAGTGCTAGGAACAGCAGGTCCTCTGAGGACAAAGGTATAACTGACACCCTCCAGCGTTTCCGTGACGGTAGGGGCTGCAGTGTGGCTGCGGTCTTTCTACCAGAAGAGGGGGGAAACCACAGCCATGGCCCTGACATTCCAAATCCTCTGAGGGGGCTCAGTTCATGAATTGGCTGATATTCCATTCACATAGGACATGCCCTCCACGCCGTGTCTACTTTGTGTTGTTTTATGTGAGTAATTTTGCAGTATTAAAATCTAGTAAGAGTCACTTATTCAGCACTTGCTCAAAGTTCTCAGCTGACACTTGTTGTAGGGAGACGCCATGTCTATGTGGGGTGGGTCCTTCCTGTAGCCCTGGGCACCCAGGTGTGGTAGGAGCCTTAGAAAGCGGAAATGGGAGAATCTTCTGAGCACAGGGAGTGAGGGGTGGCTCCACATCCTCCTCTCTAAGGCAGTGCCTCCTTCTCCCCCAGGTGGTCAGGACAAACCCTTCCTGTCTGCCCGGCCCAGCACTGTGGTGCCTCGAGGAGGACACGTGGCTCTTCAGTGTCACTATCGTCGTGGGTTTAACAATTTCATGCTGTACAAAGAAGACAGAAGCCACGTTCCCATCTTCCACGGCAGAATATTCCAGGAGAGCTTCATCATGGGCCCTGTGACCCCAGCACATGCAGGGACCTACAGATGTCGGGGTTCACGCCCACACTCCCTCACTGGGTGGTCGGCACCCAGCAACCCCCTGGTGATCATGGTCACAGGTCAGAGGCTTTCTGTCTGGGCTTCTCACTGTCCCACCTCCTGAATCCCAGAGCTTCTGGTGGGGGTGTCCATCAGGGTCCCATCACCCAGGCCCCAACTGTATTTGGGGTCAAGGGGGATTGAATACAGGGGAAATGGGCGCTGTGGTGGGAAGAATAACTGTCGCCAATGATGGCTACATTGTAAACCCTGGAGCCTGTGACTATTTATGTTATAGGGCAGGGGACTGAAGGGGAAGGTGGAGCTCAGGTTGTTGATGAGTTGACCTTGAGATGGGGAGACAGCCTGGACTGTCCTGCTGGGCTCAGTGTAATCACAAGGGTCCGCGTGAGAGGTGGAGGAAGAGGGGAGTGGGGATTAGAGCAGTGTAGTGGGAGGGAGACGCTATCAGCCACTGTGGGCTTTGAAGGTGGAGGAAGGCCACTAGTCACAGAATGCAGGTGGCCTCTAAGGGCTGGAGAAGTCAAGAGAACTGATTCGCTGATTCTCCAGAGGGAACGCAGCCCTGCAGATGCCTTGATTTCAGCACAGGGAGAACTGGATCCAATTTCTGTCCCCAGAAGTGGAAGGGGTCAGTGTGTTCTCTCCTGCTGCCATGTTTGTGATAATTTTCTGCAGCAGCAACAGGAAACCGACACAGGAACCCAGGTCAAGGACAAGCTAGGAAACCAAACAAGGATAGCCAGGTGTGGTGGTGGGCATGAGTAATCCAACGACTGGGGAGGCTGAGGCAAGATAATCACTTGAACCGGGGAGGCAGAGGTTGCAGTGAGCCAAGACAACACCACTGCACTCCAGCCTGGGTGAAAAAGTGACTGTCTCAAAAATAAATTAATTAATCAATTAATTAAAGAAACCAAACAAGGAGAAGGTTGGCTACCGTGGGATCAGCAAGGGTGGGATGCTGATGCCACCACCAGGCTCCATCCACATAGGAAGGGGTTGATGCTCCTGGAACCAGCACCAGGGACCACCCTATGGAAGCTGGGGCCATGGAGAAGGCACAGACATGGCAGGAGAGGCTCCCAATCCCCATCAGGAACAGGGTGTGTGGACACTGATGTCTGCCTTACTGATGAGTTGATACCTCTGCCAGAGACTCCAATTTGTTCAAAAGAGATTGATTCAGGCTGCTGAGAGCCTGGACATGCAGCCTGTCCTCTTCCACCCCCACATAGACAGCAGGAAAGAGACTAGTGGGAAAGAGATACAACAGCCCAAGAGATGAGGCTCTCTTCACAGTGGGAAGGGAGTCAGGGGCTACTGGAGACAGAGGGACAGAGAAGAGGGAGGAAGACAAATGGAGGGACCTGCACCAGGGGATATGGGCACAGAAAAGACACGGAGACACAGAGAGGGAGGAGAGAGACAGACCTCTGGGAGGGGAACCCTCACTCATTCCAGGTGCCATGGATGGGATGATAAAGAGAGATGCCTTCTAAACTCACAACTTCTCTTTCTAGGAAACCACAGAAAACCTTCCCTCCTGGCCCACCCAGGGCCCCTGCTGAAATCAGGAGAGACAGTCATCCTGCAATGTTGGTCAGATGTCATGTTTGAGCATTTCTTTCTGCACAGAGAGGGGATCTCTGAGGACCCCTCACGCCTCGTTGGACAGATCCATGATGGGGTCTCCAAGGCCAACTTCTCCATCGGTCCCTTGATGCCTGTCCTTGCAGGAACCTACAGATGTTATGGTTCTGTTCCTCACTCCCCCTATCAGTTGTCAGCTCCCAGTGACCCCCTGGACATCGTGATCACAGGTGAGAGTGTCCAGACATTCTTCTCATTGTCATTGGGACACAGAGTGAATGATCCAGGACTTGGAACCCCCAGGTGGTCATGAGGAAGATAAGCGTGGGATTCTTATGGAGAGAGACTGACTCGGTGAGGTCTGTACCAACAGAGACAGGGAAACAGGAGACATAAGTACAGACCAGGTGTCATAACAGAGGACAGACACAGGGGCCATACGGGGAAGTAGAAAAGAGAGAAAGAGGTAAAGGAGACACTCAGACAGACAGACATGTGCCAGAGAGAAGTGTCCTTCCATGCTGACTTTGCTCAGAGACCTGGCACAGGTTAGAAGTTTCATTTCTGTTTTGTCTCCACAAAGTGCTTCTACGAGGAGAACCCAAGGACACCCATATTTCTGACCTGAGTTGGGCCCTGTGGCCTCAGGCCTTGTGGCATCTACAGATGCCATGTTTATTCTGACACCTCTGCCTTCCATGCAGTGGAGCCATAATTATCCCAGGATATCATGGCCCCAGAACACCAACCCCTAAATACTGTGTGTACTTGGTGTCCCCAGACTAGATTCTGAGGCTCATATTCCAAATAATCCTACATATAATAGGATCACTGAGAGACACAGAGATAAATCAGGGACTTCAAAAAGCAAAGGCATAAACACACAGAGAATGAGCCAGAGGAAGGGGATTGAGAGACTCACAGACACACAAAAAGAAAGAAAAGAGGGCAGAGGAGTGGAGAGAATGCTGGAAGGGAGGAGAGAAAAGCCCCAAAATCAGAACCCTGAGGGAGGGGCACAAAGACAGAGAAAGATAAAGATGTGGGGATGGATTGCAGAGATTCCAAATAGAACTAGAGAGACTGAGAGGCAGAGAAAGACAAGGAGATGGAGAGAGACAGATGATAGATGGATAGATAGATATAGATAGATGATAAATAGGTAGATGATAGATAATGGATAGGTTATAGATACATAGATGATGATTGATAGATGATACATAGAGATGATGATGATGATGATGATGAAGATAGATAGATAGAAGACACATATATAAATATATAGATACATAGATGATACATAGAGACTGACAGGCAGACAGAGAGGTAATAGAGAGAGAGAGAGATGATACATAGATACAGATAATACATAGATGATTGATGGATAGACAGATAGACAATTGATAGATAAATGATACATAGATATAGATGACAGATAATTTGTAGATAGACACAAAATAGATAGATAGATAATAGATAGAAATATGCAGAAAGTTATGAACAAGACAGAAAGTGAGAGACTCAGAATTATAGAAAAAGGAAGATCAAGTCAACCAATCCAAGGAGAGTCAGAGAGAATAAAACAATCCAAAAAGGGAAAGCATACCCAGGGGTGGGGAAGTGAGGTCAGAGACCTAGAGAGACAGAGAAGGCGGAAGGAGGAAATAGACATGAAGAGAGTTGGGGTGGAGGGTGAGAGAGAGAGAGAGCATTAGGTCATAGAGCAGGGGAGTGAGTTCTCAGCTCAGGTATGAGGGGAGCTGTGACAAGGAAGAACCTCCCTGAGGAAACTGCCTCTTCTCCTTCCAGGTCTATATGAGAAACCTTCTCTCTCAGCCCAGCCGGGCCCCACGGTTCAGGCAGGAGAGAACGTGACCTTGTCCTGTAGCTCCTGGAGCTCCTATGACATCTACCATCTGTCCAGGGAAGGGGAGGCCCATGAACGTAGGCTCCGTGCAGTGCCCAAGGTCAACAGAACATTCCAGGCAGACTTTCCTCTGGGCCCTGCCACCCACGGAGGGACCTACAGATGCTTCGGCTCTTTCCATGCCCTGCCCTGCGTGTGGTCAAACTCAAGTGACCCACTGCTTGTTTCTGTCACAGGTGAGGAAAACCCGTGTCTGTCCCATGTCTTATGATCCTAGAGCCATAGCTGAGGAGCTTCCTGCCGATGATGGGGAGAAGCACGGACAGATGCAGAGAGAACACGAAGACTGGGTGTGAGGGGGGGGTCAGGGTGCAGGATGGCAGACAGGGCACCTCCAAACCCTCTTGCATGGCCTGCATGGAGGCCCATGGTCAGGGCTCCAGGCACCCAGGCAGATGGAGAAAGCGGTCAGGACAGACCCAGAGAAGGGGAGACTGGGCTCAGTTTGGGGAGATCAGAGGTTCCCTCAGCCCCTCAACCTTACCCATTTCCCAGAAGCCCATCCTGGCCTCTCACCCACACAGAGAGATGTCATCACCAGCAACCCCTACACTCTTTTCTTTTCATTTTCAAAAATATTTATTGAGGTTAAATGTAACTATATAATTTACCAACTTTACCATTTTTAAAAGTAAAATCTAGTGGTCATAAATACCTTTATATGCTGGGTGTGGTGGTTCACGGTTGTAATCTTGGCGCTTTGAGAGGCCAAGAAAGGTGGATCATTTAAGATCAGGGACTCGAGATCAGCCTGGCCAACATGCGGGAAATTCATCTTTACTAAACAGACAAGAAAAATTAGCCAAGCATGCCGGCATGCACCTGTAGTCCTAGCTACTTGGGAGGCTGAGGCAGGAGAAGCACTTAAAGCCAGGAGGCAGAGGTTGCACTGAGCCGAGATCATGCCACTGCACTGCAGCCTGGGAGACAGAGAGAGACTCTGTTTCTAAATAAATAAATACATCTATATTCTTTTTTTTGTTACCTTCCACCCTTCCCTTCCTGGCCTCTGGTATCCACCATTCTATTCTCTACCTTCATGAGATCCACCTTTTATCTCCTGCATGTGGTGAGAAATGGGAATCTTTGTAATGACCTCCAGTTCCATCCATGTGGCTGCAAATGACAGGATGTTATTGTTTCTATGGATGAGTAGTCTCCACCGTGTGTGTGTACTACAGTTCTCTATCCATTCACCCACTGATAGGCAGGTAGGTTGACTCCACATCTTGGCTACTGTGAACAGTGCTGGAACAGTCATATGAGTGCAGATATCACTTCGATACACTGATGTCCTTTCCTTTGGATATAAACCCAGTAGTGAAATTGCTGGACACTATGAAAGTTCTCTTTTTTTTTTTTTCTTTTTTGAGAAAGAGTTTCCCTCCTTAGTCCAAGCTGGAGTCAAAGTGGTGCGATCTTGGCTCATTGCAACCTCTGCTTCCTAGGTTCAAACGATTCTCCTGACTCAGCCTCCCTAATAGCTGTGATTACAGGTGCACGCCACCATGCCTGACTAATTCTTGTATTTTTTAGCACAGACGGGATATCCCAATTTTGGGCAGGCTGCTCTCAAACTCCTGACCTCAAGTGAGGTGCCTGCCTCGGTTTCCCAAAGTGCTGAAGTTACAGGCATAAGCCACTATGCCCAGCCTCCTTTTAGTTTTTTAAAGATTTTCCATACTTTTCTCCATAATAGTTGTACTAATTTACATTCCTACCAACAGGGTACCAGGGTTCTCCTTTCTCTACCATCTTGCCAGCATTTGTTTTGCCTGTCTTGCAGATAAAAGCCATTTTACTTTACTTTATTTATTTATTTATTTATGTTGAGATGGAGTTTCACTCATAGTCGCCCAGGCTGGAGTGCAAGGGTGTGATCTCGGCTCACTGCAACCTCTGCCTCCCGCGTTCAACTGATTCTCCTGCCTCAGCCTCCAAAGTAGCTGGGATTACAGGCATGTGCCACCACGCCTAGCTAATTTTTGTATGTTTAGTAGAGAGGGAGTTTCTCCATGTTGGTCAGGCTGGTCTCCCGACCTCAGGTGATCCGCCCACCTCCGCCTCCCAAAGTGCTGGAATTACAGGCGTGAGCCACCGGCCTAAAAGGCATTTTAATGGGATGAGATGAAAACTCATCGCGATTGTAATTTACATTTCTGTGATGATGAGTGATGCTGAGCACTTTTTCATATACGTGATCGCCATTTCTATGTTTTGTTTGTGGAGAAATGTCTCCTCATGTCTTTTGCTCGTTTTTTAATTAAATTGTTTTATTGAGTTGTTTGAGCTTCTTATATTTCCAGTTATTAATCCCGTCTCAGATGAATAGTTTGCAAATATTTGCTCCTATTTTGTGGGTTGTCTCTTCACTTTGTTGGTTTATCTTTGGTGGTGCAGAAGTTGCTTGGTTTGATGTAATCCTAATGGTCTATTTTTTGCTTTGATTACTTGTGTTTTGAAGGTTTTAAACAAAATGTCTTTTGTCAGACAAATGTCTTCCCCATTATTTTCTTCTACATGTTTCATAGGTTCAGGCCTTAGACTCATGTTTTTAATCCATTTTCATTTGATTTTTGTGTAAGGTGACAGGTATAGATGCAGTTTTATTCCTCTGCATGTAGATATCCAGTTTTCCCCACACCATTTATTGAAGACTGTCCTTTCCTGATTGTAAGTTCTCGGCACCTTTGTCAAAGTCCATTAAATGGGCTGGGTATGGTGGCTCACACCTGCAATTCCAGCACTTTGGGAGGCCGAGGCGGGTGGATCACCTAAAGCCAGGAGTTCAAGACCAGGCTGGCCAACAGAGTGAAACCTCGTCTCTACTAAAAATACAAAAATTAGCTGAGCATGGTGATCAGTGCCTGTAATACCACTACTCAGGAGTTTGAAGCAAGAGAATTTCTTGAATCCAGGAAGTGGAGGTTGCATTGAGCTGAGATTGCACCTCTACACTCCAGCCTGCATGACAGAGCAAGATTCTATCACACACACACAAAAGAAAGCCATTGGATGTAAATGCATGGATTATATCTGTGTTCTCCATTCTGTTCCATTTTTTATGTGCCTTTCTTTATGCCAATGTCATGCTGTTTTGCTTACTACAGCTCTGTAACATATTTCTAAGTCAGGTAGTGTGATGCTCCTGTTTTCTCTTTATACCTTCAAGTCTCAAGACAGTGGGCATCGCACACAAAAATTATGGAGAAAAGGATCCCAAGACTCCCAGGGTCCAACATTAGATAACAGAGTGTTGGCCATGAACCAACCTCAAAGATTTCCATTGAGTAGAGGACAAGCACCCTCATTTCCTCACATCTCTCCTGTCCCGTGTTCTAGGAAACCCTTCAAGTAGTTGGCCTTCACCCACAGAACCAAGCTCCAAATCTGGTGAGTAAAGGACCCCTCTTATCTCTGCTTTTGGAAACCTGGGGAGGTGGAAGCCTTGGATGCAAGTGTTGGCTCAAACCTCCCAGCTCTGTGAATGAGGGCCTGTCTTCCACCATCTCTGAACTCCAGACACTCCAACAGTGAAAGGGATCTAGGGCCACCAAAGGGCTCAGCGAAGTCTCTTTACCTTTAATTTCCTGCAGGTGAGACCTCCTACAAGCTAGAAGAATAATTGCCAATCTGACATCCTTCTCAGGAAAAATGCAGTGTTTTTTCTGCCTGCATTCCTAACTGGAGGATAAATTCCCGGGGGCTTGAGAGAGGGAAGGGAAGGGAACATCTGATGAGGGTGGGTGTTTTAGAGAAGTTCCACTTGCCAAGGAATGAATTACTGTTGGTCATCAGGCAACCCTGGCTGACTCAGCAGAGCAAGAGCCTTGCCGTAACAGAGAACAGAGCTCATGCACGCACACTTCGACTCAGTGACTCATTCAGCCACAGCCCCATGCTCAGGCTGTGCAGTGTGGAAGCTTTTCCTATTGTTGCCATAACAAATTTCCACAAGATTCGTGTGTGAAAACAAAACGGTTATTTAATTATCTTACAGTGCTGTAGCTCAAAGCATGACGTGCATGTCACTGGGCTAAAATCAAGGTGACAGCAAGGCTGCCTTCCCTCTGAGGGTTCCAGGCAAGAATCTGCTTCTCACTTTTCTCAGCTTCTAGAGGCTCCCATGTTCCTTGGCTCCTGGTACCCTTCCTCCTTCCTCAAAGCCCACAAAGACTGGTCACATCTCACATGGCATCACTCAGACCCTTCTTCCTTACCACACCTCTTTCTCTGAATGCTGCTCTCCCTTCTTGCCCTTCTTTTGAAAACTTGGGGATTCTATTGGGTTCACCAAGATGAAAATCCATCATAATCTCCCGGAAATCATCCAGGATACCCTCCTTTTAAGTTCAGCTGACTAGCAACCATAATTCCATCTGCAATCTTCATTCCTCCTTTCATGTAAAATAACATATTCACAAGCTATGGAGGCTAGGACATGGACATTTTTGGGGTGGGACAACATTCTCCTGCCTTCCACAAACAGTGAACAAGATGCATTTGGCCTCTGTTCTTGGGACACTGATCTTGCAGATGGTTAAATGGGAGGGCAGAAAATGTAGGCACAAGGGGACCAATAAATGAATGATCTATTGAGAAGCATCTGTGCATGAAATCTATTTATTTATGTATTTACCTACTTGTTTATTGAGACGGAGCCTTGCTCTGTCGTCCAGGCTAGAGTGCGGTGGCATGATCTCGGCTCACTGCAACCTCCACCTCCTGGGCTGAACTGATCTCCTCCCTCAGCCTCTCCAGTAGCTGGGATTACAGACCACAACCACCACGCCCGGCTAACTCTTTTTGCATATTTTCTGTAGAGAGGATGTTTCACCATGTTGGCCAGGCTGGTCTCAAATTCCCAACCTCAGGTGATCCAATAGCCTCTGCCTCCCAACACGCTGGGATAAGAGGCATGAGCCACGGGGCCAAGCCAAATTTTCAAATCAATAATAGATAATGCTGAGTGTATTATTTCAGGTGACAGAGAAGTTCTCACTAATCAGATATTTGTGACATTAATGAAAAACACGGATTGAACCCCTGAAAGATTGGCGGAAGGATTTTGCACACACAGCTGTCAGCCGTGAAGGCACAAAGGTGAAAACAATCTGATGTGGAAGGAAGAGGCTCTGCCTGAAATGCTGGGAATGAGGTGGGGAGAATGACAAGATGACTGTAGAGAGACGGAGAGCACACTGGGTACACAGGAAACTAAGGAGCAACAAGGAGCGTGTGTTTGACACTCACAGCCATTGGATTCACCTCGAGGTAACCAGGAATCCCTACATGATTAATATGACTGACATGAAAATAAGGGAGGCTCAGTTGCATAACTGGAATCTAGGAGACCGTGGAAAAGGCAATTGCCGCCCCACTGGTGAAATGTGGTGCTGATTTAGACACTAAATGAATGAAGTAGATGGATATAAGATATGTTTGTGAGGTAGAATCATTGGCTGGAAAGGCTTGCTGGGTTTAATTTTTCCTGGTAGTTTAATCCTCGCTTCACTAACTTATTTCTGAGATTTATTTCTCCTGCATCTAAATCAATACCTGGCAGAGGAGGGAGAGCTAGATGAGGGGTGGTGCAAATGAAGGGACCTAGTATAGCATAATATACAAGGCTGTGAACGGTGGCTCACGCCTGTAACCCAGCACTTCAGGAGGCCAACGCGGGTGGATCACATGAAGTCAGGAGTTCGAGACCAGCCTGGCCAACATGGAGAAACCCTATCTCTACTAAAAATACAAAAATTAAACAGGCATGATGGTGGTGCATGACTGTAATCCCAGCTACTCTGGAGGAGGAAGCAGGAGAATGACTTCAGCCCTGGAGGCAGAGGTTGCAGTGAGTGGAGATCGCATCACTGCACACCAGCCTGGGCTACACAGGGATACTCTGTCTCAAAAAATAAAAATAAAAAATACATAAATATAATAATATACACAAATGATGCAGGCACCTGAATTCCAATCATCATTTTTCTATTCCTCTATAATTACTTCTTTGATCCTTTATCTTATCCATTAGAAAATCAGCCTAAAACCTCTTCCATATTTGGCTTTCTGTGAACATGAGATCATATGGAAAATATGAAAGCCCCCTGAACCCACCAGCACAGGCCCTGAAATAGGGAAAGTGCTCTGTTCATCACAAGAAACTTTCCCCCTCACCCAAATCCCCCACCTCACCCCTACTTCCAATCACCTGTGGAGATACAGATAGATCATGGGGAGGTAAACGCTAATACTCCTTGGAGTGAGTTCAGATCTTGGAATCAGAGATCAGCACCAGCACTAGCTCCTGCTCCCCTTTCCTACTAATTCACAGGAGGACAGGTGGTTTTGAAGCAATAGATGGTGGAGGGGGTGGTCTTTCCCCCAGCCTCTCAGGTGGAACAGCAGCCTAACATGTGTCTCGCGAGATCACAAAGAGTAGCACGTTTCACATGGGCTTCATCATTATTTCCTGGCTGTTTGACATAAGAGAATTCTACTTTGCTTTTTTGATCTTGATTTCACTTTTGTGTCCTTTTCTTGGAGAATGTAATTTGAGTCAAGAGGGTTGTGGATGTAGAAACTGTAAAGCACATTCACTGTGTATCAATCCCAGTCCAGTCTTTCCAGAGAAGACTCTAAACACCTGCTGTACTGCACCTGGGCCTATGCCAATTTCTATCACTCACCGTCACTCCAGGGAGACAGAACACACAGAGAATACGTTACATAGGCAGGTTCATTACTAACAGATAAGCAGCGAGTGACAACAGAAGCCTACATTTCAACGTGAGCCAGTCCCTCAAGGCTCAGAAAAGCTGCTCGGGACATATGGAGTCACCTCATTTGCAGTGTATCTGGGGGAAGCCAGAAAATAGCCCAGCCTGGGTTTTGTACCCTGAAGCCACAGGAAGCACTCAGCTAAAGCACTGCATGACGTCCTCCTCCAGGAAGAACAGGAAGACAGCACAGGCTGTTCTGAGACGTTCCTCCTGATCTCAGGACGTTGCTGTCTTAGTCCATTTTTGTTGCTATAAAAGAACACTTGAGCCTGGGTTACTTCTTTTTTTTTTTTTTTTTTTTTGTATAGTGCTTCTGATGAGCTTTTTTTTAAAATTTTTATTATTATTATACTTTAAGTTTTAGGGTACATGTGCACAATGTGCAGGTTAGTTACATATGTATACATGTGCCATGCTGGTGTGCTGCACCCATCAACTCGTCATTTAGCATTAGGTATATCTCCTAATGCTATCCCTCCCCCCTCCCCCCACCCCACAACAGTCCCCAGAGTGTGATGTTCCCCTTCCTGTGTCCATGTGTTCTCATTGTTCAATTCCCACCTATAAGTGAGAACATGCGGTGTTTGGATTTTTGTCCTTGTGATAGTCTACTGAGAATGATGATTTCCAATTTCATCCATGTCCCTGCAAAGGACATGAACTCATCATTTTTTATGGCTGCATAGTATTCCATGGTGTATATGTGCCACATTTTCTTCATCCAGTCTATCATTGTTGGACATTTGGGTTGGTTCCAAGTCTTTGCTATTGTGAATAGTGCCACAATAAACATACGTGTCCATGTGTCTTTATAGCAGCATGATTTATAGTCCTTTGGGTTTATACCCAGTAATGGGATGGCTGGGTCAAATGGTATTTCAAGCTCTAGATCCCTGAGGAATCGCCACACTGACTTCCACAATGGTTGAACTAGTTTACAGTCCCACCAACAGTGTAAAAGTGTTCCTATTTCTCCACATCCTCTCCAGCACCTGTTGTTTCCCGACTTTTTAATGATCGCCATTCTAACTGGTGTGAGATGGTATCTCATTGTGGTTTTGATTTGCATTTCTCTGATGGCCAGTCATGGTGAGCATTTTTTCATGTGTTTTTTGGCTGCATAAATGTCTTCTTTTGAGAAGTGTCTGTTCATGTCCTTTGCCCACTTTTTGATAGGATTGTTTGTTTTTTTCTTGTAAATTTGTTTGAGTTCATTGTAGATTCTGGATATTAGCCCTTTGTCAGATGAGTAGGTTGCGAAAATTTTCTCCCATTTTGTAGGTTGTCTGTTCACTCTGATGGTAGTTTCTTTTGCTGTGCAGAAGCTCTTTAGTTTAATTAGATCCCGTTTGTCAATTTTGGCTTTTGTTGCCGTTGCTTTTGGTGTTTTAGACATGAAGTCCTTGTCCATGCCTATGTCCTGAATGGTAATGCCTAGGTTTTCTTCTAGGGTTTTTATGGTTTTAGGTCTAACGTTTAAGTCTTTAATCCATCTCAAATTAATTTTTGTATAAGGTGTAAGGAAGGGATCCAGTTTCAGCTTTCTACCTATGGCTAGCCAGTTTTCCCAGCACCATTTATTAAATAGGGAATCCTTTCCCCATTGCTTGTTTTTCTCAGGTTTGTCAAAGATCACATAGTTGTAGATATGTGGCATTATTTCTGAGGGCTCTATTCTGTTCCATTGATCTATATCTCTGTTTTGGTACCAGTACCATGCTGTTTTGGTTACTGTAGCCTTGTAGTATAGTTTGAAGTCAGGCAGCATGATGCCTCCAGCTTTGTTCTTTTGGCTTAGGATTGACTTGGCAATGCAGGCTCTTTTTTGATTCCATATGAACTTTAAGGTAGTTTTTTCCAATTCTGTGAAGAAAGTCATTGGTAGCTTGATGGGGATGGCATTGAATCTATAAATTACCTTGGGCAGTATGGCCATTTTCACGATCTTGATTCTTCCTACCCATGAGCATGGAATGTTCTTCCATTTGTTTGTATCCTCTTTTATTTCATTGAGCAGTGGTTTGTAGTTCTCCTTGAAGAGGTCCTTCATATCCCTTGTAAGTTGGATTCCTAGGTATTTTATTCTCTTTGAAGCAATTGTGAATGGGAGTTCACTCATGATTTGGCTCTCTGTTTGTCTGTTATTGGTGTATAAGAATGCTTGTGATTTTTGTACATTGATTCTGTATCCTGAGACTTTGTAGAGGCTGCTTATCAGCTTAAGGAGATTTTGGGCTGAGACAATGGGGTTTTCTATATATACAATCATGTCATCTGCAAACAGGGACAATTTGACTTCCTCTTTTCCTAATTGAATACCCTTTATTTCCTTCTCCTGCCTAATTGCCCTGGCCAGAACTTCCAACACTATGTTGAATAGGAGTGGTGAAAGAGGGCATCCCTGTCTTGTGCCAGTTTTCAAAGGGAATGCTTCCAGTTTTTGCCCATTCAGTATGATACTGGCTGTGGGTTTGTTATAGATGGCTCTTATTATTTTGAGATACGTCCCATCAATGCCTAATTTATTGAGAGTTTTTAGCATGAAGCGTTGTTGAATTTTGTCAAAGGCCTTTTCTGCATCTATTGAGATAGTCGTCCGGTTTTTGTCTTTGGTTCTGTTTATATGATGGATTACATTTATTGATTTGCATATATTGAACCAGCCTTGCATCCCAGAGCCTGGGCAACTTCTAGAGAAAACAGATTTGTTTGCCTCACAGTTCTGCAGGCTGTACTGGAAGCATGGCACCAGCATCTGTTTCCTGTGACGGCCTCAGGCTGCTCCCACTCTGGCAGAAGGGAAGGAGGGTCTGTCTGTGCAGAGACCACAGAGATCACATGGCAAGAGAGGGAGCAAGGGGGAGGGCGAGCGATGGAGCTTCCAAGCTCTTTTTAACAACCAGCCCTCCGGGAACTAATAGAGGGGGAACTTGCTAACCCCATCATGTGGGGCAGCATTAATCTATTCATGATGGATCCACCTCCATGACTCAAACACCTTCCCATAGGCCCAAACTTCCACACTGGGGGTTAAATTTCAATATTTCAGTGTGAGGTTTCAAAGGGTCAAACATCTAAACTAAAGCAGCTGTATCCTCAGCATGTTCTATGGTTTCTATGAGAGCTGTAACTGAGAAAGCAGGAGAAAGCTGGGTCTCCCGCCATCAGGCTGCTTGTCCTAAGGAGATGTTCCATGTGGTTACCTGTCAATCAAGAAATGAGACAATCCATAAAGAGGAACTGCTATGATTAGCTTCTTATTGGATTCCCATCTTCCTCCAGGTATCTGCAGACACCTGCATGTTCTGATTGGGACCTCAGTGGTCATCTTCCTCTTCATCCTCCTCCTCTTCTTTCTCCTTTATCGCTGGTGCTCCAACAAAAAGAGTAAGTCTCACGAAGCAGAGGCCAGAGAGCTCAGGGCCATGTGGGGAAGCAGGATGGGAGCACGCGGGTGTGTGTTCCTCACTGGCAGGATGGTCCCTGGCCCAAGGGAGGAGCCACAGAGGCAGGGCTTTCTAGAGAGAGCACCAGACAACCTGCCCCTGCCTTCAGCTCACAGACCATTGCCTGGTTCTGAACTGTATCCTCACATCCCCTGCAGCCACTGACATCCAGAAGCTTCCATGACAGGCAGAAAGTGGGAGACAGAATCAATGGGATGCCAATTGAGAGCACTTCATGGGATGGGGTCTTGAACTCAGAGAGATAGAATGTCTGAGTCTGGATGTTGGCAGCTGAAGAGCCTCAGGCACCTACAGCCTCCCCCTGTGGGTTGGTGTCTGCCCATGAAATGAGGACCCAGAAGGGCCCTCCAAGCGGTTTTGATGACTTCCGTCTCCTACAGATGCTGCTGTAATGGACCAAGAGCCTGCGGGGGACAGAACAGTGAATAGGCAGGTAGGTCCTCCTCGGCCCAGCCTCACGGATACAGTCTTATCCCTAATAGTCCTGAAAAATGTGAGCACCCTCCCTCACTCAGCATTTCCCTCTCTCCAGGACTCTGATGAACAAGACCCTCAGGAGGTGACGTACGCACAGTTGGATCACTGCGTTTTCATACAGAGAAAAATCAGTCGCCCTTCTCAGAGGCCCAAGACACCCCTAACAGATACCAGCGTGTACACGGAACTTCCAAATGCTGAGCCCAGATCCAAAGTTGTCTCCTGCCCACGAGCACCACAGTCAGGTCTTGAGGGGGTTTTCTAGGGAGACAACAGCCCTGTCTCAAAACCAGGTTGCCAGATCCAATGAACCAGCAGCTGGAATCTGAAGGCATCAGTCTGCATCTTAGGGGATCGCTCTTCCTCACACCACGAATCTGAACATGCCTCTCTCTTGCTTACAAATGCCTAAGGTCGCCACTGCCTGCTGCAGAGAAAACACACTCCTTTGCTTAGCCCACAAGTATCTATTTCACTTGACCCCTGCCCACCTCTCCAACCTAACTGGCTTACTTCCTAGTCCTACTTGAGGCTGCAATCACACTGAGGAACTCACAATTCCAAACATACAAGAGGCTCCCTCTTAACACGGCACTTACACACTTGCTGTTCCACCTTCCCTCATGCTGTTCCACCTCCCCTCAGACTATCTTTCAGCCTTCTGTCATCAGTAAAATTTATAAATTTTTTTTATAACTTCAGTGTAGCTCTCTCCTCTTCAAATAAACATGTCTGCCCTCATGGTTTCGATAATGTGACTCTTTATTCGCCAAAAGTTTCCAGTGTTATCATTACTATGTCCATATAACCTGATATGTTCTCTACTGGGTTCTCAGCCCTGGACTCTGAGCTTCTGGAAGCAGGGTGGAGCCTCATTTGTCTCTGGGACTCCAATTTCCATCCAAAGATGCAGCACATAGGAGGTTCCAAGGATCGTGAATCACATGAACAAGTGATATTCTTACTCTCTGCAGACCTGGAAAGCTGGCAGAGTCATTCCAAGATGAAACATTTGTAGAGTCATAGGCCTTGTTAGTCTCATCTCCACAGGGACACATGTCAACACATCATCTTTCATACTATAAATATACAGTCGCTCCTCCATATCTGTGGGGTTTACAGGTGTTTATTGAACCAAATATAAATCAAAAATATTCAGAGAAAAAATCCACAAAGTTCCAAAAAGCAAAAATACTATATTGTGTGGACACAAGTGAGGTGGTGTGTAGGCTGTATCAGGAATTATAAGTAATCTAGAGATGATTTCATGTATACAGGAGGATGTGCATGGGTTATATGCAAACGCTGTGCCATTTCATGCAACAGGCTTGAGCATCTGCAGATTTTGGTGTCTGGTAGGGAGGGGGGTTTCCTGGAACCAATCACCCATGAATAGTGAAGGACAACTGTATATAATTTTCATTCATCAATTTTATAAATAAATCATCAAAATGTATGATAATAAGATAAAAAATTAGCAGTGTTTTTATGGTGTGAAAATAAGCTTAGATTTATTTTTTCCTGCTTGTAACCCTCTGGTCCAATGTTATTTACTGAGAAGACATTCTATTCCACCTTAATCCGCATGGCAGCCTCTGTCAACTATAAAAGGACTGTGTGTACACAGATGTATTTTACACACTCTTTTCTGCTCAGTGGCTCTCTGTGTCCACTCTCATGAGGATGCTGCACTTTATGTGGCCTTATAGAACCCCTTAAAATTTGGCAGCCTGAATCCTCTAATTTCTCCTTCCTCTTTAAGATTGCCATTATTATTATTATTGGCTATTTGCTTTTCCATGTAAATTTGTAATCATTTTTCTCATTTCCACCAAAAACAATGCTTGTAATTTTGTTGTGACTCCCTTACATCTACAGGTAAGTTCTGTCCTATAGAAACATAATGCAAACCACATGCATTCTTTCAAACTTGCTAGTATCCAAATTAAAAAGCTAACAAGAAACAGATAAAATTAATTTAAGTTAACCCAATGGACCCAAAATATTATTAACCCAACAGACCCAAAATATTAACCTAATAGATCCAAAATATTATTTTATTATACAAGTAGACTCAAAATATTATCATTTCAACATGTAATCATGTGTCATCTTGGAAAACATCAGATCCCTGTCTAGGTGGGCAAAGATTTTTCTTCGTAATATCTCATTTCCACATTTCCACTTGGCACAGAAACTGCCCCCAAGGCTCAGGATACTAAGATGCAGTAGGAATGGGTAGATGTATCTGGAGGAAAGTGACTGAATGAAATTGAGACATCAGAGTCTGGGAAACTCACTAGAACTACAGGGACAGTGTGGGGGAGGGAATTGGGAGATGTTGATCAAAGGATACAAACTATCAGGTATTCAGGAGGAATGGGTCTGAAGATCTCTTGTACAGCTTTGCCACTATGGTTGACAATACTGTACTCTATACTTGAAATTTACCAGGAAAGTAGATTTTTTTTTTTAAATATGGAACACTTCACGAATTTGCGTGTCATTCTTGCGCAGGGGCCATGCTAGTTTTCTCTGTATCGTTCCAATTTTAGTATATGTGCTGCCGAGGCAAGCATGGGAGAGTAGATTTTTTTTTTTTTTTTTTTTTTGAGCTGGAGTCTTGCTCTGTCACCCAGGCTGGAGTGCAGTGGCGCGATCTCGGCTCACCGCAAGCTCCGCCTCCTGGGTTCACGCCATTCTCCTGCCTCAGCCTCCCGAGTAGCTGGGACTACAGGCGCCCGCCACCACGCCCTGCTAATTTTTTGTATTTTTAGTAGAGACGGGGTTTCACTGTGTTAGCCAGGATGGTCTCGATCTCCTGACCTCGTGATCCGCCTGCCTCGGCCTCCCAAAGTACTGGGATTACAGGCATGAGCCACCACGCCCGGCTGGGAGAGTAGATCTTAAGGGTCCTCACCACAAAAAAAAAAAAAAGAAAGAAAGAAAAAGAAACCATAGGCCGGGCGCGGTGGCTCACGCCTGTAATCCCAGCACTTTGGGAGGCCAAGACGGGCAGATCACTTGAGGTCAGGAGTTCAAGACCAGCATGGCCAACATGGTGAAACCCTGTCTCTACTAAAAATGCAAACATTAGCCAGGCGTGGTGACACAAGCCTGTAATCCCAGCTACTCAGGAGGCTGAGGCACGAGAATTGCTGGAACCTGGGAGCGGAGGTTGCAGTGAGCCAAGATGGCACCACTGCACTCTAGCCTGGGGGACAGAGTAAGACTTCCTCTCAAAAAAAAAAAAAAAAAAAAAACAATAACCCTGCGAGATGATGGATATAACTAGCTTGACTATGATGATCATGTCACCATGTATACATACATCAAAACATCAAGTGTAATACACCTTAAATATATACAATTTCCATTTGTCAATCATATCTCAATAAAGCTAAAAGAAACCTCTAAGTTTCAACTTTATTTTCAGAAAGCTGTGCCATGCTTACCTCAGTGCCTAAGTATACTCTAATTCATGGAAATGGCCTTTAAAACTGCAGAGAGTGGCTGGGTGCAGTGGCTCACGCCTATAATCCCAGCACTTTGGGAGGCGGAGGTGGGCAGATCACGAGGTCAGGAGTTCGAGATCAGCCTGGCCAACATGGTGAAACTCTGTCTCTACTAAAAATACAAAAAATAGCTGGGCATGGTGGCAGGTGCCTGTAAATCTGAGATACTCAGGAGGCTGAGACAGGAGAATCGTTTGAACTGGGGAGGCAGAGGTTGCAGTGAGCCGAGATCCTGCCATTGCACTCCAGCCTGGGCGACAGGGTGAGACTCCATCTCAAAAAAAAAAAAAATACTGCAGAGAGTTAAGGCCCTCACTGGACACTCTCCGGTACCTCTGAGGTCAGTGGATAGAGAAGCAGCTCCCCTTCTTCTTCCTCGAAACAAAGGCCTCCTTCCTTCTTAGGTGTTTGAGACAAATTCTCCACACAGGTGCAGCTGAGTGCTGTAAAGTCCCACTGAGAGTTGAAGGTCCCCACTGCCAGTCACAGTTCGGTCCCACTGAGGGTTGAAGGTCCCCACTGCCAGTCACAGTTTGGTCCCATTGAGGGTTGAGAGTCTCCACTGCCAGTCACAGTTTGGTCCCATTGAGGGTTGAGAGTCTCCACTGCCAGTCAGTTTGGGCTTATTAGGGTTTATGCTGTGCACGGAGAATGGAACCTACCAATCAACTCTTAGTGACCAGTTAGACAGATTCAAGGCAAATTTCCCTGCTGGGAAATCCCAAATCCCAAAATATGCAGAGACCAATAGATGCCTCAATTCTTCCGTGTCTCCGTCTAAATCCTTGGGTCACTGTGACTCCTGTAGTTATGTGGCTTGTAATTCCTTGGGCCGTAGAATGGCTATGATAGGCCCTGTGCTAAGGGGACTGGTGACAGTTGAGACAGGAACATGGAAGCTATAGTAGTCAGGGTTCTCCAGAAAAAAAAATAATCAACACTAATAATGATAGATATATAGATAATGATTGATAGACAAATAATGATAGATATATAATGATATCACAAATAATGATAGACATATAGTTGGATAATGACAGATATATAATGATTGATACACAGATAGGGTATTTATATATTGGCTTATGCAATTATGTAGACTGACAGGTCCCATGATCTGCCATCTGCAAGCTGGAGACCCAGGGGAGTCCACGTGTAGTTCCAGTCTACGTGCAAAAGTCTGAGAACCAGTAGAGTTAGTGGTATACGTAACAGTCCAAAAGCTAGCAGGCTCATGCCGGGCATGATGGCTCACGCCTGTAATCCCAACACTTTGGGAGACCAAGGCAGGCAGATCACCTGAGGTCAGAGTTCAAGACCAGCCCGGCCAACATGGTGAAACCCCATCTTTACTAAAAATACAAAAATTAGCCGGGCATAGTGGCATTCGCTTGTAATCCCAGCTACTCAGAGGCTGAGGTACGAGAATTGCTTGAACCCAAGAGGTGAAGGTTGCAGTGAGCCGAGATCATGCCACAGCACTCCAGCCTGGGTGACAGAGTGAGACTCTATCTCAAAAAAACAAACAAACAAAAAAAGCTGGCAGGCTTAACATCTAAAGAGTCAATGTTTTAGTGAGAGTTCAAGAGCCAGAAAAGACTGATGTCCAGGCAAAAGGAACTTCATCTTACATTACCAGTTCAATGTTTTGTTCTATTCAGGTCCCACCTGATTGAATGAGGCCGACTCACATTAGGGAGAGCAATCTGCTTTATAAATTACACTAATTCCATTGATAATCTCATTCAGCAACACCCCCACAGACACACACAGAATAATGTTTAACCAAATATCTCAGCACCCCATGGCTACGTTACCATTCCTGTTCCACAAAAGGAGGAAACAAAAGAACAAAACCACACCAAATGTTGTGGTAAGTTGACAAAATCTGTTCCAGCCCATTAGTAAATATTGGCCACTGAAGTTCCTGAAATTCAACAATTAGTAAGTATCTCTCTCCCAATAGAAAGCCACGTCATTTGTAAACCATAACAATAGCTTTTGTTTTTTTGAGACACAGTCTCGCTCTGTGTTGCCCAGGCTGGAGTGCAGTGATCTTGGCTCACTGCAACCTCTGCCTCCTGGGTTCAAGTGGCTCTCCTGCCTCAGCCTTCCGAGTAGCTGGAATTACAGGCACCCGCCACCACACCCAAGTAATTTTTTATATTTTTAGTAGAGACTGGGTTTCACCACATTGACCAGGCTGGTCTTAAATTCCTGAACTCAAGTGATTCACCTGCCTTGGCCTCCCAAAGTGCTGGGATTACAGGCATGAGCTACTGCACCCAGCCAACAATAGTATTTTTAATTAGGTCATCCTGCCTTTACAATCTCTGCATTTTAAATACTCAACTAAGAGTACAGCCATTATTTGTCTTTCACCCAAAGTCCCATTCAAGTGAGAACAAAGGAATGAATAAATAAGGCATAAGTAACAAAACAACAAAAAAAGAAAATTAGAATGCGGTCAATTTCATGCAATCATCAACACCAAATTTCCAGAACGTAGTATTTCCAAATTTCCCGAACGTAAATATGTATGTGGAAATTAACAAAATGTGGCAAAACAAAAGGTCACTTAAATTTGCACAAATGAAACAGTCAACATGGAAGCTGATCGGCTTTCTGAAATATGGGACAAGCTCAGGACTTCAAAATACTTCGGCGTTGGAAGGGCTAAGTTATGATGTATTAAAATGAAAATAAAGTGGGGCGCGGTGGCTCACGCCTGTAATCCCAGCACTTTGGGGGACCGAAGTGGGTGGATCACGAGGTCAGGAGATCGAGACCATCCTGGCTAACACGGTGAAACCCCGTTTCTACTGAAAATACAAAAAAAATTAGCCGGGCGTGGTGGCGGATGCCTGTAGTCCCAGCTACTCGGGAGGCTGAGGCAGGAGAATAGCATGAACCCGGGAAGTGGAGCTTGCAGTGAGCTGAGATCACGCCACTGCACTCCAGCCTGGGCGACAGAGCAAGACTCCGTCTCAAAAAAAAAAAAAGAATAAATAAAATAAAATAAAATAGTAGAAGGTTTAATTAGGAATATTTCACTCTCCATACCTGAAGAATTCGTGATAGCCAGGAGTCTACAATCAAAATAACATAAATAATAAGATAAAAATAAAATTAATTTGAAGCCATAAAAAAAGAATGAGTTCATATGTTTTGTGGAAACATGGATGGAGCTGGAGGCCATTATCCTTAGCAAACTATACAAGAACAGAACACCAAATACAGCAGGTTCTCACTTATAAGTGGAAGCTAAATAATAGAACTCATGAACACAAAAAAGGGAAAAACAGACAATGGGGTCTCCTTTAGGGTGGAGGGTGGGAGGCGGGAAAGGAGCAGGCAAAGTAACTATTAGGTACCAAGCTTATTACCTAGGTGATGAAATAATCTGTACAACAAACCCCCATGACACAAGTTTACCTGTATAACAAACCTTCCCATGTACCCTTGAACCTAAAATAAAAGTTAAAAAAATACTCAATGAGCAACAATGTACATTATTTGAGGATAATTATATTAAAAGCCCAGACTTCACCACTACACAAAATATCCACGTAATAAAATTTCACTTGCGCTCCTTAAATTTATACAAATAAACAAAAAAGTATAATAAAATAGTAGATTCTTTCTTTAGAGATGACAAATAGTGCCAGAGAAAATGCCTCCACACTCTGGCATTGAGATCATCTCCAGGATAAGGGTATACTGCATGCCTGGTCAAGTCCAAGTAAATATACTCAGACCATGAATCTCAGAGATGAAACATAGGTTCAGAACAGACAAAGCCACAGAGCTTTTGACTAATGGCCCAGTGAAGGCAATGTCTGCCTGTATGGTATCCACCACCTTATATTCTGTCCCAAGCCCGTCTATTTGGATGTAGCATCTGGTTCAAAGATGAATTTGAACACCATTAGACACTGGCTTAATGAAAATTCACTTCTCATTCGTTTCTCATCTGAAACATAAATAGAAATATAGGTCTTAGGCAGGAGGATTTCTTGATGCCAGAAGTTAGAGACTACCCTGGCCAACATAGAAAGACCCCATCTCTATTTAAAAAAATATACATATATATGTCTTCTCTTGGGCTCCACCCAAGAGCAACCTGGAACTAAGTTATTCGGCAACGAACTGTTCCACTTTGTTGTGAGGCAATAGATGTGGAAATTCCCTGACGAGGGGCTCTGTCCTCATACTTCCTGCGGAGCTTATTGTCGTAAGAATATCTGTCATCCTGCTAATGTGCATTGAAAGGAGAGCAACGGGGCTGAGGCCGTGTCAGCACGATGGACCCCAAACAGACCACCCTCCTGTGTCTTGGTGAGTTTCAGAGTAAAAGTGGGTTAGAGGGGAAGATAGAGAAATCCCAAAATAATCAGGGTGTCTCTTAACAGTGTGACTAGGAGATTTTAGTGGCTGCCAAGGAGATTCTGATCTCCTTAGTGGAAAGGCCGTCTTTGTCAATGTATCTATAACTTTGTCTCTACCCAAGCCCAAGCTAGCTTGTGGGGCTCAAGGTTTAATATTTGTATTAAACCTATAGTGTGTTATCTGGGATTCATGATGGTCCCAAGGTTCTTATCAAGGAGAGACTTAGAGGCTGGAATCTGAAAGGTAAAAATAAAGAATGAACCTCAAAACTGTGATTGTTGTGGAAGGAAAACATATGATAGAACCCCATATAGAAATATGGTTACTAGTATTTTGTTGAAGATTTTTGCATTTATGTTCAACAAAGATATTATCCAGAAGTTTTCTGTTTTTGTTGTATCTCTGCCACATTTTGTTATCAGGATAATGTTGGCCTCATAGAATGAGTTGGGGAGGAGTCCCTCCTCCAGGATTTTTTTCAATAGTTTCAGTAGGAATAATACTAGCTCTTCTTGGCCGGGCGCAGTGGCTCACACCTGCAATCCCAGCACTTTGGGAGGCCAAGGCAGGCGGATCACAAGGTCAGGAGATCAAAACCATCCTGGCCAACATGGTGAAACCCTGTCTCTACTAAAAATACAAAAAAATTAGCCAGGCGTGGTGGCGGGCGCCTGTAGTCCCAGCTACTCGTGCGGCTGAGGCAGGAGAATGGCATGAACCTGGGAGGCAGAGCTTGCAGTGAGCCAAGATCATGCCACTGCACTCCAGCTTGGGCGACACAGCGAGACTCTGTCTCAAAAAAAAAAAAAAATGCCAGCTCTTCTTTATATATCTGGTGGGATTGAGCTGTGAATCCATCTGGTACTGGTCTTTTTCTGGTCTGTCATTACAGAGGGTGATTTGTCGTAAAGGTTGGAAATGGAAGCTTGATTTTTCATAAATCTCTCTCTTCCAGTGCTCTGTCTGGGCCAGAGGATTCAGGCACAGGAAGGTAAGTGTCCTGTAAATCTCTCCCAGCCCCTTTAGACCCTCTTGGGAGCTCTAGGATAAAGAAATTGAAGAATAGCCTGAAGCACCATTCTTATTTTAATCCCCATTCTAGTTGTTTCTGCTGTGCTTCTCTTGCATAATTTCTATCTCACTTTGTTATCTCCAAACCCTTCAGACTCATTAATGCTCAGGCCTGGATTTATAGTTAGTCCTTGCCTGTGTTAGACTGTCCATGAAGGATCTGTAATTTACTGAATGCTCAAACTGCAAGAATGAGGAAGTCAGGAGTCATCTGCCCAATATCCTTCCTTATGCTGATTCTATTTTGTTTTAGCAACCCACTTCCTCCCGTCACTTCATTTAAAAGGATGCTGCCATAGTCTAACCCTACTGAACACTCTAGCATTCTGTAGTACTACTGCAGTACTAAGCATGAGGCAGTCTTAGTGTACTACTGAATATTCTGCCACCCCAACTACTACTGCCTTAGCCTCCTAATGGGTGTGAGCCCCACGTCCATCCATGTCTTCTCTCTTCCAGCTCCTTCTAAAGCCTGAATTATTTGTGTGTTGAACAATACTCATTCTTCCTATCCATGAGCATGGAATGTTTTTCCATTTGTTTGTGTCATCTATGATTTCTTTGACCAGTGTTTTGTAGTTCTCCTTGCAGAGATCTTTCACCTCCCTGGTTAGCTGTATTCCCAGGTATTTTATTCTTTTTGCAGTAATTGTGAATGGATTCTATTCTTGATTTGGCTCTCAGCTTAGATGTTTTTGGTGTATAGGAATGCTACTGATTTTTATATATTGATTTTGTATCCTGGAACTTTGCTAAAGTTGTTTATCAGATTAAGAAGTGTTTGGGCAGAGACTGTGGTTTTCTAGGTATAGAATCATATCACCTGCAAACAGGGATAGTTTGACTTCCTTTCTTCCTATTTGGATGCCTTTTATTTCTCTCTTGCCTGATTGCTCTAGCTAGGACCTCCAGTACTATGTTGAACAGAAGTAGTGAGAGACGGCATCCATGTCTTTTGCCAGTTTTCAAGGGGAATACTTCCAGCTTTTGCCCATTCAATATGATGTTGACTGTGAGTTTGTCATACATCATTCTTATTATTTTGAAATATGTTTCTTCAATGCCTAGTTTGTCGAGGTTTTTTAGCATAAAGGGATGTTGAATTTTATCAAAAGCTCTATTGAGAGGATTATGTGTGTGGGGAGGGTTGTTCTATTTATGTGATGAATCATATTTAAGATTTGTGTATATTGGCCGGGCACTGTGGCTCATGCCTGTAATCCCAGCACTTTGGGAAGCCAAGGCTTGTGGATCATGAGGTCAGGAGATCGACACCATCCTGGCTAACACGGTGAAACCTCGTCTATACTAAAAAACACAAAAAAATTAGCCAGGCGTGGTGGTGGGCACCTGTAGTCCCAGCTGCTCGGGAGGCTCAGGCAGGAGAATGGCGTGAATCCAGGAGGCGGAGCTTGCAGTGAGCCAAGTTCACGCCACTACACTCCAGCCTGGGCAACAGAGCGAGACTCCTATATCGAATCAACCTTGCATCCCAGAAATAAAGCCTACCTGATGGTGGTGGATTAGCTTTCTGATGTGCTGCTGGATAGTTTGCTAGTATTTTGTTGAGGATTTTTGCATTTATGTTCAACAAGGATATTGTCCTGAAGTTTTCTGGTTTTGTTGTGTCTCTGCCATGTTTTTGCATCAAGATGATGCTGGTCTCATAGAATGAGCTGGGGAGGCATTCCTCCTCCTGAATATTTTTGGAACGTTTCAGTAGGTATAGTACCAGCTCTTCTTTATATATCAGATGGGATTCAGCTGTGAGTCTGTCTGGTACTGGGCTTTTTCTGGTCTGTAGGATTTTTATTACTGATTCAATTTTGGAGCTCATTATTGGTCTGTTCATGTATTCAATTTATTCTTGGTTTGATCTCAGGAGGGTGTATGTGTCCAGGAATTTCTCCATTTATTCTGGATTTTCTAGTTTGTGTGCATAGAGGTGTTCATAATATTCTCTGATGATTGTATTTCTGTGGGGTGAGTGGTAATATACCCTTTGTTGTTTCTAATTGTGTTTATCCGGATCATCTCTCTTTTCTTCTTTATTAGTCTAACTAGTCATCTGTCTTACTAATTTTTTCAAAAATTCTACTCCTCGATTTGCTGATCTTCTGAATGCTTTTTCGTGTCTCAATCTCCTTCAGCTCA